>NC_000010.11:18343333-18494848 GCF_000001405.40 Homo sapiens
CGTAATTTTTGTTTTTTCTGACTGTGGTTAAGAGAAAGTATTTGGATCCAGTCAGACTTGACGTTGAATACTAAACCGTCCCCTAAATAATGGTGTGATTTGGCAGATTTTATCTTCTCTGAGCCTCAGTTTCATCATCTGTAAAATTAGGAATAATAATAACTGTGTTTCAAGATACTTGTGAGAATTTTTTAAAACGATCAGAGTACATGCATAGAATATAATTATATGGATGGCTTAGCATAGTTCCTAGAGTTATTCAGGGAAGGTGTATGCCTTCCTATATTTTCTGCAATAGCTAGGAATGAAAGAACTTAGCTCTGAAATCCCAAACTGTGATACTTCTGATAGGCAGCAAAGGAAAGTGATGAGTTGAGTTTTTATTTGCATATTGGAGGACAGGGAGAGAGATTAAATGTCCCCCTTGTGAAGTGTGACTTCTAATTGGAGACCTGTGGGTCAGCTATCAGCGGGCTGGGAGGGGAAAGCAAATACAAACGCTCTAAAACTGTGTGCAAATATTTCAGTCTCTGCATATGTGAACATTTTCTAGCTTCTGCCAATTATCAAAGTGGTCCTCAACTTCTAAATGGTAATAAATAAATAAATCTGAGTGGGCGTAAACCTGAGACAACAAATAAGATGATGATGATGAAGTATTCTAAGAAGGCTAGTAATTTTGGGTCGATTATTTTTTCTTCCTCTTTAATTTTATATTGCTCAAGCATTTATCAAAAAAAAAAAAAAAAAGAAAGTTAGCATGTGACTGTGTATTCCTGTATGTTATAAGACAAATAATGATCTAAGGCTGCAGGCTTCTACATCACTCTTCAGATATAATTTGTATTTAAATGTAAGTATAATGTCCATAAGGCCTGGTGGCTAATGTATGTACATGGAGATGCTGGCTTCAGCATCAAGAGGAGCCATCCTGTTTGATTTTACTTTGCCCCATAAAACGATCAGTTTGTGGAAAGAGTCATTTTGTGCAGTCGCAATAGAGATTTGCAGTTATTTTCATTATTAAAATTGACAAAACTTTTTTTTTTTTTTTTAAACAGAGTCTCACTCTGTCACCCAGGCTGGAGGGCAGTGACATGATCTTGGCTCACTGAAACCTCCACCTTTTGGTTAAAGTGTTTCTCCTGCCTCAGCCTCCCAAGTAGCTAGGATTACAGGCGTCCTCCACCAACCCCAGCTAATTTTTTTTGTATTTTTAGTAGAGACGGGGTTTCACCATGTTGGTCAGGCTGGTCTCGAACTCCTGACCTCAGGTGATCCACCCACCTCGGCCTCCCAAAGTGCTGGAATTACAGGTGTGAAAAGAGCTCTATCCTTCAAAGTAATTAAAGTTTTTACCACTAAAAATAGAAGAAATTGGCTGGGGGCAGTGGCTCATGCCTGAACGACACCAGCCTGGGCAACAACTCCGTCTCAAAATAAAATAATAAAATAAAATAAAACAGAAGAAATATTAAAGGAATGTGGGTGTAGGAATACCCCACAAGCTCACCATGCTGTGGTCAGATATTTTTATGCTGGCATATTGTACTGCAGTTCTTTTCTACAAGCATACATATTTTTATAGTTGTAACTGCAGTGTTCAGACAGTTGTGGGTTCTGCCTTTTTTCCTTCAACCTTATTTTGAGATCACTGTTTAATCAGATCACTGTTTAATCAGCATAATATAACATCGTGACGATCTGCCATTGATTGTCCAATAAAATGGTCATTTATTTTTGGACTTTTTAATTGATTTTATAATTTTGTTTTCATAGATAAATCTATAACAAATTTGAACATATGGTTTTCAGCTCCATTAAATAACTTATTTGAGATAAATTATCAGATGTGGAATTATTTGCACAGTGAGTGGGTTTGAATGTTCTTATAAGTCCCTGGCTATGCTTTTGATATCTTTTTTTCCAAATTCTACCAGTGGACAATGCCAGTATTATTCATATACTAATTTTATCACAATGTATGCAGTATTATGTATTAATGATTGCTTTTCATGTAAATAGTTATACAGCATTGTTTTAATTTCTGTTTAGTGGATTACTACTGAAGGTGAATATTTATATACTCTCTGTATTTCTGTGCGAATTGTTTCATTAGGCTTCCTGCATTTAGATTAATAAGTTACTTTTTATTTGTTGGATATTAACAGGCTTTCCCTCTCTCACCTTGGAACTCCCATCCGTCTGTCTCTGTATGGGGGAGCTTCTTCCTTCTTTCTTTCCTATTAAACACACTCCGCTCCCTAAAACAAAACAAAAACAATCCTTACAGAATTAACTGTGGAATAGTTTTTCCCCTATCCAATACTATGCTATCAAAATACTGTCTTTCATATAAATTTATCTTAAATTTATATTCTAATACCCTACTGGTATCTCTAGAGGTTGGCTTGAAGAAATAGAGTATTCGCATAATTAGAAATCAACAGATAGACTAGTCACAGGATTAAACCTCAGTTTCGGAATGTGGAGCAAAAAGCTTTTGACTTTATTCAGATATCTCACTTATTTTTGACAGGGAGCTAATAACCATTACGGAGAATAAGGAAAAGGTCACATCTGACCGAAGCACGCTTAGTATGAAAAGTGCATTCTGTCTCACCTTTCTGTTCATAGATTTTACATTGTCAGGGGCAGCACAAGCCAACATATCATCACATTTCTGTTGTTTCAGGGCTGGCAGGGCCTGGCAGAGACCCTGTGCCTTTGTAGCTTCCTGCAGGGCTCCCCCTCCAGTGGCCATTCAGAGATCTTCCACTCTCCTCTTAAGAGGTGGAGAACTGGAACTTTCTTTTATTTGTTTGAGGTGGAGTCTCACTCTGTTTCCCAGGCTGGAGTGCAGTGGCGCGATCTCAGCTCACTGCAACGTCTGCCTCCCGGGTTCAAACGATTCTCCTGCCTCAGCCTCTTGAGTAGCTGGGATTACAGGTGCCCGCCACCACGCCTGGCTAATTTTTGTATGTTTAGTAGAGACGGGCTTTCACCATGTTGGCCAGGCTGGTCTCAAACTCCTGACCTCGAGTTCCACTCGCCTCGGCCTCCCAAAGTGCTGGGATTACGGGCGTGAGCCACTGCACCCGGCCAGAACTGGAACTTTCTATATGGTTTTCTGGTAAGGGATCTGCTAGTATTTTGATCTTAATGTAATATCATGTCATTTGTTAATTCACAAATAGTCATCACTTTTCCTTCAACCTTTGTTCAGTTACCTAGCTTTGTTAATGTTAGTGGCTTTTTTGGGGGAGGAGGGGAGCTCGGGGGGCACAGGGTCTCACTCTGTCGCCCAGGCTGGAGTGCAGCGATATGATCTCAGCTTACTGCAACCTCCGCCTCCCAGGCTCAAGCCATCATCCCATCTCAGCCTCCCGAGTAGCTGGGACTACAGGCATGTGCCACCGCGCCTGGCTAATTTTTGTGTTTTTCGTAGAGACAAGGTTTCACTTTGTTACCCAGGCTGGTCTGAAACTCCTGAGCTCAAGTGATCCACCCTCCTTGGCCTCCCAAAGTGCTGGGATTACAGGTGTGAGCCACTGCACCTGGCCTGTTAGTGGCTTTTTGGACATCAGAGAAGAGAAAAACCTGACCCGTGAAATCACATCTAAGATCCTTAATTGTGCTGCCAACACACAAAATAGACCTGCTGCTGTCAGTCAGAAGGGGCCATACTCATTGATAAAAGTGCACCTTTTAGAAAGTCTGTTTCATACTGTTCTGTGCCGCCTAGTCTTCTTAATAGAAGAAAAAGGCTTTGATTTGAAAACATGATAGGATGGACATATCTGACTGCACTGAAAGGACAAGAACAAGATTTTATTTTATTTTATTTTATTTTTGAGACGGAGTTTCTCTCTGTTACCCAGGCTGGCAGGCTGGAGTGCAGTGGTGAGATCTTGGCTCAATGCAACCTCCGCCTCCCAGATGTAAGCAATTCTCCTGCCTCAGCCTCCTGAGTAGCTGGGACTACAGGCGCATGCCGCCATGCCCGTCTAATTTTTTTTTTTTTTTTTTTTTTTTTTTTTGTATTTTAGTAGAGACCAAGTTGCCCAGGCTTGTCACGAACTCCTGAGCTCAGGCAATCCGCCCACCTTGGCCTCTCAAAGTGCTGGGATTACAGGCTTGAGCCACCATGCCCAGCCAAGATTTTATTCTTAATTCTAGCACTGGCTCCTTAGTTTTTGAGCAAGTTGATTAACATCTCTAGGCTTTTTTTTTTCCCCCTATACAATGAAGGCAATAATTTTTATCTCTCTACTGCTCTGTCTGGAAGGCTATAAAAGCCTATACAGGTAATGCAGTATCCTTAAAGCATCTGAGAATAGCTGTCCCTAGTTTTGTCTTTACTTTGAAGCCTGAGTAATTACTTAAGGAATGTACCTTGAATCTTGAGACCATGTTTCTAACAACACAGGTATTTCTGCAACCTGAAATCTGATGAGCCTGAGATCCTTTCTGTTGGACCCAGGTTGAGGACTATTTTCGTGACTTCGCTTAATGAGATTTAATGTTCAATATAAACACTTGAAAGGAATTTTTCAAGGCTAAATTCTACATCAGAAGGTTTTGAGCGTCGTGCACAGCTCAACTTCCAAGTCTTTTACAGTGGGCTGTGAATAATTAATGCTGATTTGATATCTGGGCATTCTTTTAAAAAACGTGTATATCCACCCAAATATAACAATATAGAAAAAAGAAGAGCCTCATGATATTGCCCAAAATTTTAATGACTCACATGTGATATGCTGAGTACTATCTAGGTGAAGTTAAATGTGGCCTCTGTTGACGAAATTGCCACTTACTTGGATAACATAACAAGATAAAAACACGTTTGCAACGATGTACATTTTGAGAAATCATGAATTTCTGCATTGTAGACATAAATATTTAAAGAACTCTCCGGGTAAAAGATCAGTTGAAAATTTGGAAATTGTGGAATTCAGTTCAATTTAGAATACTTACTGAATGACAACAATTAGAGAATAATTTTGTCAAATGTCTCTTTAAAATGATTTAATTAAGATACATATGTTTGGCACTGTAGCTGGAATACAGAGGCCCAAGGTGGTTATATGGGCTAAATTTGAACTCAGAAAAAGGATGGATGGACGGACGGATGGACAGATGGATGGACAGACAGACAGACAGATAGATGGATGGATAGGTGGATAGATAGATTGTTTGAGACAGAGTCTTGCTCTGTCACCCAGGCTGGAGTGCAGTGGCCTGATCTCGGCTCACTGCAACCTCCACCTCCTGATTCTCCTGCCTCAGCCTCCCGAGTATCTGGGACTACAGGTGTGCACCACCATGCCCGGCTATTTTTGTATTTTTAGTAGAGATGGTGTTTCACCAGTTTGGCCAGGCTGGTCTGGAACTCCTGACCTCAGGTGATCCACCCGCCTTGGCCTCTCAAAATGCTGAGATTACAGGTTTGAGCCACTGTGCCCAGATACAAAGTTTATATTTTAAAGAGACCTCAGAACTAGGCCAGGCAAGATGGCTGATGCCTGTAATCCTAGCACTTTAGGAGGCCAAGGTGGGAAGATCGTTTGAGCTCAGGAGTTTGAGACCAGCCTGGGCAACATAGGGAGACCCTGTCTCTACAAATATATTTTAAAAATCAGCCACATGTGGTGGTGTGTGCCTGTGATCCCAGCTCCTTGGGAGGCTGAGGTGAGAGATCACTTGACTCCCGGAAGTTGAGGCTGCAGTGAGCTGTGATCGTGCTTCTGCACTCCAGCCCGAGTGACAGAATGAGTCCCACCAAACAGAACAAAGGGACCTCAGCCTTTCTTCACTTCTTTGTTCTTCATATGAAGGGTGGGCATTCACAGGACATTGCAGGAGGTGTGATAAGATTCAGAGTTCCCCATACAGCCTCCACTTGACCGCTTCTATTTGAAGGATGTGATGCTGTGGCTGGAACAACTGGTTGGTGAAAATGTTGTTGAAAGTCGTTTGTTTAAAGAGACCTAAAAAGAACCGTTTTCCCGGAGCTCCGGCATACTACAATGACCTAAGTTAATAGACCACAGCGAGTGTGAAGAATAATGGGTCCAATTGTTGATGCAGTATCTGCTTTTAGGCTGAGAAAATATATATTGGTTTAATTTCCACAACTGAGTTTGCCTGACTTCTCTGGGACCATTTTCCATTCCAGCAGCATAAACCTGGCTCAAAATGCCATTAAAATTGATGACAATCTGCTAGGTGAGATGAGCCAGACACAAGGAGACAAATACAGAATGACCCCACTTATATAAGGGACCTAGAATAGACTCACAGAGTCTAGAATGGTGGTTTCCAGGGGCTGGGAGAAGAGGGGAGTGGAGAGTTAGTGTCTAATGGGGACAAACTTTCAGTTGGAGATGATTTAAAAAAAAAAAAAGATCCTGGAGACAGAAGATGGTGATGGCTACCCAATAATGTGAATGTATTCAATGCCATTGAACTGTATGCTTAAAATTGGCTCAAATGGTAAATCCTATGTTATGCATATTTTGTCACAATGCTTAAAATACAATTTAATAAAAACCCACCTGTATTGCGCACGTATGTTGCATGAGGCCAAATGCTTTATATCTATTATTATTATTTTTAATTCCGTAACAGCTGGGTGCGGTGGCTCATGCCTGTAATCCCAGCACTTTTGGAGGACGAGGTGGGTGGATCACCTGAGGTCAGGAGTTTGAGACCAGCCTGGCCAACATGGTGAAACCCTGTCTCTACTAAAAATACAAAAAATTAGCCAGGCATGGTGGCGAGTGCCTGTAATCCCAGCTACTCAGGAGGGTGAGGCAGGAGAATCGCTTGAACCCAGGAGATGGAGGTTGCAGTGAGCCGAGATTGTGCCATTGCACTCCAGCCTGGGCAACAAGAGCAAAACTCAGTCTCAAAAAAATTTTTTTAAAATAATAAAAATAATAATAATAATTCTCATAACAACCCAGTGAAGTAGACACATGATCATCTCTAGTTGGCAGATAAAGCATCTCAGCACAGTCAAGTTTGTCACTAGCGTGGGGTCCCACAGGTGTCCGTGGAAAAAGCAGGAATTGGAAGCAAAAGGGCAGCCTCTTCCATGCACGCAGCCCACACAGCACTGCCTGTGCCTCCTTGTTGTTTTTGTTTGTTTTGCCTCTGGTGACTGCACTTTCTAATGGCCCCAGCTGCTAGAGCAGCCGACGTTCCCTCAGGAGTAGCGCTTTAGGTTCCCTTAATCTTCACCCAGGGGTACCTCCTTGACCTTGAACCCTGCAGGTCCTGTAGCAGGAGGTGAGATTGCCCATCAGCCCTCCAGGAGTCCACCAGACCTGGCAGGCCTTCATGCAGCAGAACAAAAGGCCAGCTGTTTATTTCCTAGGCAGAGTTCATGAAAATCACCCCATGGGTGTGATACCAAGATCATCTTAAAATTAACTTGTGTTTTAAAAACCATTTTCTGTTTGGTTTTTTAGTGGTGGTGGTTGTTTTTGAGACAGGGTCTCGTTCTGCCGTCCATGCTGGAGTGCAGTGGCACAATCATAGTTCACTGTGGCCTTGTACTCCTGAGCTCAAGCCGTCATCTATCACAGTTAAAAACCATTTTTAATCTTCTCTAAACAAGTAACTTTTCTTAACATAGTTTTCAATCTTCTAGAATGATCAACTAGAATTTTTTTAAATGAGCTGCTTTTTTCTTATTATATGCCAGCTACTTTTTGGAAAAACAATAGCATAGAGTCATTCTCACAGGAGAATGTATATAAAAACAAAGTAAATATATTTTTATAAAGATCACATGTACACCCTTTCTTTTCTTTTTTTTTTTTTCTTTTTTGCTAAAATGTGTATTTATAACCAGATTTCTCATCAGGCTTTCTTGGGATCTTTAAAATATGTTTCTTTTGCAAATATAGGCTTAGGACTAAATATATTCTGTATCCCGTCATCATGTTGTATTACAGATGAGAAGACAATTAATTCTGTGATAAAGTATCATAAGGCAAGAAAGAAGGTGCTTGGGGAAATTGGACTGTGCTAGAGATCTTTTCTGATTCTGCAATATACTACGTATTCAGTGATCTGCTATATACAATGATTACTGTCTCTTTACATTCTTCTACCTATATTTTTTAATTGGGTGAGATGATGAACTGGAAAATGATTTGCTACATCCAGAAATTTCAAAGCATTCTTAAGGATTTTGTTGAAAACACATGTTATTCTATTGTTACCGTTTTCTGCCTTTTTCACTCTACCATGGAAAACCAGATGGTCTGTACAAGCCGAGAGAAATAATTTCCAACCCAGTGTATTTGCATAATTTCCTCTCTGCCCTTAATCTGGAACAAAAGGAAACAAAATGAATTGAGTTCAGCATAATAAACTAGATTGGTTCTTAATTACAGAATTAGGAAAGTTTTTCACATAATTTAAGATTCTTTGGTTGTATTGCTTTCAAAGTTAGAGAAAGTCTCTTTTAAAGTGTGATTTCTATTAGAGGCTTTTTTTCCTGATGAATTCATTGATTCAACAAGTCAAAATGGGTGACAGTTTTTGCAAACCAAAGGAAGAGAGTGATGACATTTAAAACACATATATAGACATAGAGAATTTCAAATGTTCTACACTCCTGCTGCTCTCTCAAGGCGTGTTCAGAGTCTCCTAAAAAGGATGTTTGACCTGTTTGCAGAGCTCTGACAGATGATATTTTGACAGGTCTATTTCTTCTGCGTGTTCAATGCAATGCCCAAGATGAATAGGCATTCAACCTAAAAGTACAACTTAAAAGTACATTTTTGCATCCAAGCCAGCCTCTGCGTACTTCATTCTTATCCTTATATAAGGGTAAGATATTTGATATTCTGATAATCCTGTTACCTTTCTGATCGCATGAGTTGAGTGGACTTCCACGCATCACGTCCCATGACAGGGCTCCTCTGTGAAGCAGGGAAAAAGCATGGCATCTGATCTCCTTAATTCTTACAACACCAACAGAACATAATTACTTTATCATACAGGGCTATGAAGATAGCACATGTCACCACTGTATGAAAGCTCTTAGGTTGTGGAATTTAGTCTAATGTTATCATGGAAGAGTACTGAAATAGGGAACAGTAGGGTTGATAAATAGAGAAAGAAAAGAGAAACCAGGAATAATCAGTGAATGATAAGCAAGTAACATGGTTTAAAAGCATTCCAGGAGTTCCATTTTTAAGCACTCTTGTTTACTTAGTTTTGCTACCCACTTGTTGCTTTGGAAGAGTTTCTATTAATTAGATGTCATTTTTCAAAAGTGCGTACTTAATTGTTATATGAATTACAAGGGACTGCATAGGTTTCGTTGCAAAAATGTTTTTCAAGGAACACTTAGAGGAAACATGCTTCGTAGCATTTCATAGTATATGACATTTTTAAGGGAGAATGCTTTACATGTAATATGTAGCACAATTTGGAATTATTAGTATATTGGATTTTCTCATGTTCTGGGCAAATGAAGGAACATATATGTTTGTATCAATAAAAGCTGTGAACAGAATATGTGAGCATATTTTGAATCCATCAAATGTATTACATCACCTCTAGTAAAGCTATAAATTATAGAATACTTTAATAAAGTTATTTTTCTTATTCATGAAATATTATGTCTGGTAGCAGGAAAATGTGATCTGTTCAGAAAAAGGATAATGAAAGAAATCTTTTATTAGAGAAATATGATTGCTATACAATAATGTGGCCTACATTTAATTCTACATGTTTTAAAATTAGAATTGGGCTTTAAAAATTTATGGTTCTATGCCAGGTGCGGTGGCTCATGCCTGTAATCCCAGCACTTTGGGAGGCCGAGGCAGGTGGATCACAAGGTCAGGAGTTCGAGACCACCCTGGCCAAGATGGTGAAACCCCATATCTACTAAAAATACAAAAATTAGCCGGGCACAGTGGTGGGCACCTGTAATCCCAGCTACTCTGGAGGCTGAGGCAGGAGAATCGCTTGAACCTGGGAGGCAGAGTTTGCAGTGAGCTGAGATTGTGCTGCTGCACTCTAGCCTGGGCAACAGAGCAAGACTCTGTCTCCAAAAAAAAAAAAAATTATGATTCTATATGAAACGTACGTTTGTATGGACTTGGAAAAGTCTTAGTTAAGGACATAGGCCTTCTCAACTCTTTTTAACTCTGTAACTTTATGATATAAACAAAATATGTAAGCATTTCTTCACAGTTCGCCGATCTACGTTGATTCAGTATAAGGTACACATCAAAGTAAAATTAACCAAAGACTCTAATTTGAGGGAATAATAAGGCACATGGTTGATAAGAAAGAATACAATATTCCAGGGGTTATGAACTATTAGCATTTCTGATTCATGGCAATCCAATTTGAGAGTATAAATTTGGATTACCAGCTTAGTTCTGAAAAACTTTCTTTATACTGCTCTATGGCAGCTGAGGGCTTCCGGTTCATCACATGTATCTGTTTAGTCTGCTAACTCTGACAAAAGCCATTATCTATTTTTTTTGCCCAAAGGCATTATAAGGAAATAGTATGAGCAAAGTTTTCTTTCTAGTATAAACAATAAATCTTACTAGCCATTGGGCAAACTCATATTCTGGTGAATATTTGAAAAAGCTTGGCACTCATTAATACCAGCAAGTGTCCAGTAGCTTGATGAGTACTTTATAGTATTTAAATGGAATGTATAGTCTGTCAAAAAACTATAGTAGGCCTTAATTAGCTGGGTGACATTGGACAAATTATCCAGAGTCAAATCCCTGAGAGTCAATTTGCTTATCTTTTCATTTGGAGTAATAATGATGTATGACCCCTATAGACCTCAAGGCTCAAATATAATTTGAAAATCTTAAAAATAGCAAAGCACTGTATGATAATGAGGTATTAATCATTTAACAAACACTTGTTAAGTGTTAGCTCCTTTTTTTCCTCCTGACTTGGGCCCTTAAACTGCTTGCCTGTCTTGGGAAGAGTCTCCTTGGTGAGGTCCTATGAGAACTTTCCACTGTGCCTGGTCCCAACCACCACCCAACTCTCCACCCTTCCACCAACTTGTGCTGGCCTTGAAAAGGTCAGAAGGCTGTTGGAAGAGTCCTGGGGAGAGAAACATGGCAGCCGAGCGCAAGACAGTTATGGTGGGGCCTAGAGAGGAGCCAGATGTCATGGTGTGGTTGATTGTGTTGGATGAAGCTGAGGTCACAGAAGATGAAGGCTGAAAGGAAAGCTAGGGTTATTTTGTGGTGTTTTTGTTGTTGTTGTTGCTGTTTTTGCTTGTATGTTTGTTTCTCAATTACAACTATAGGGATGGGGGAACTATCTTTAGAGGAGTCTCAGGACCCAGCAGGCCCAACAACAGAGGAGTGGGGACTTCTGAGAAGTCTGGCAGAGCAGGTGATGGGCAGTAGCTTTTCCGGTTCTGAAAATATCTGCATAATCTACACAGGGGTCAGCAGGGTTCAGAGAATTAACCTAAAGCACAACCATAAAACCATGTGTGGTTTCTTTCTTCAAAGTCACATCTGAAGCTCAATATTACAGGTTGAGCATTCCAAATCCAAAAATCCGAAATCCAAAACTTTTTGAGTACTTACGTAGGCTAGAGACACCTTTGCTTCCTGATGGTTCAACGTACACAAACTTTGTTTCATGCACAAAATTATTTAAAATATCATGTAAATTACCTTGAGGCTATATGTATAAAGTGTACATGAAACATTAATGAATGTTGTATTTAGACTTGAGTTCCATCCCCAATGTAGCTCATTACATACATGCAAATATTCCGAAATCCAAATAAAATTTGAAATCTGAAACACTTCTGTCCCAGGCATTTCAGGTAAGGGATACTCTGCATGTACACTCTAAGTGTTTCAGGGTGCTTAACATAGTACTTCTATCATTTCTTGTTATTTGAGCTTTCTAGATTTTGGAGTTCTGGATGAGAAGCTTATCTTTTACAAACATTACTTGTAGTTATTCTTTTCCAGGTATAAACCTAGGTAGAAAAAAGTTGTTATAATGAAAAGAAAAATGTATCGTCGTTTTTTTAAAAATGGGACTTCTATATGTAACTAACGATTTGGTGTTAGTGTGAGCTATGATTTGTTCTCAGGATCATGAATGATATCACACAAATGATTACGACACTTGAATAAATGTGGCCTTTATTTAATTTTTTGATGCTATTGCAGAGCTGCTGCTAACATTCAGTCCTAGTTATAATCACAAAAGTATCTGCCATAAGCCCAGCTGATTAGGCTCTGCAAGTTTGATCTGATTTTTCTCTTTTTTTTTTTTTTTTATTTTTTTGAGACAGAGTCTTGCTCTGTCGCCCAGGGTGGAGTACAGTGGCGCGATCTCGGCTCGCTGCAACATTTGCCTCCTGGGTTCAAGCAATTCTCTGCCTCAGCCTCCCGAGTAGCTGGGATTACAGGTGCCTGCCACCACGCCTGCCTCATTTTTTTGTATTTTTAGTGGAGACAGGATTTCACCATCTTGACCAGACTGGTCTTGAACTCCTGGCCTCATGATCCACCCGCCTCTGCCTCCCAAAACACTGGGATTACAGGCGTGAGCCACCATGCCCGGCCTCTGATTTTTTATTCTCCTCTGTAATGTCCGAGTCAACTAACATGCACATAAAATATGCAAAAAACCCCACAACTTTCTGGAAGGTTTCTGTAAGGATTGCTCCACGGAGACTCTGGCACCCCAAGGCTGCAGGCCCCTGGAGGTCCCAGGAGACCTGGATCTCTGCCCACTGCCCCATGCATTGACACAGCCCTCCCTTCCCACCTTCCCCGCTGTAATATTGCTTACCCATCTTGATTCCTTCAAGGATGAAGCTGCCATAGGCTGGGCCTCTGCTCCTGCTTTTTTCTGATGCTTCATTCATGCAACTATCCCAACTGCCCAGCACCCACTTTGCATCACGCTAGCTCTGGGCACCATCAGGAAGCCCACTGTCTATACCCTGTGCTCTGTCTCACTCCACCTCATCATCACTGCTTATTTTCCTCACTTTCTCCAGCAAGCCAACTTCTTTCCACCTTTCTGGTCTTGCTGGATTATTATTATTGTTGTTGTTATTATTTTAAACCTGGAATATTCCTCCCTGCCCTTTACTTTGATCCTAAACATCTCTGTGGTTCTGCAGAAAAGCTTTTCCTGACTACATTGCACAAAGGAGCTTCTCCCATTATTCACATCACCCAGTTTGCTTCGTATAAATGTAATTATTTGACCAGCAGTTTACATTTTGATCCTCTCTCCTCTCGTCTCTTTTTCTCCTTCATTTTTTTTTTTAACAGAGTCTTACTCTATTGCCCAAGCTAGAGTGCACTGACATGATTGCAGCTCACTGCAGCCTTGACCTCGAGGGCTCAAGCAATCCTCCCATCTCAGCCTCCAAGTAGCTGGAACCACAGGCACATGCCACCATGCCTGGCTAATTTTTTTATATTTTGTAGGGGTGAGGTTTCCCCATGTTGCCCAGGCTGGTCTCGAACTCCTGGGCTCAAACGATCCTCCTGCCTCAGCTTCCCAAAGTGCTGGGATTACAGGCTTGAGCCACTGTGCCTGGCCCAGACTCAATTTCTTTTTTTTTTTTTTTTTTTTGAGACGGAGTTTCGCTCTGTCGCCCAGGCTGGAGTGCAGTGGCGCGATCTCGACTCACTGCAAGCTCCGCCTCCCGGGTTCACGCCATTCTCCTGCCTCAGCCTCCCGTGTAGCTGGGACTACAGGCGCGCACCACCATGCCCGGCTAATTTTTGTATTTTTAGTAGAGACGGGGTTTCACCGTGTTAGCCAGGATGGTCTCGATCTCCTGACCTCGTGATCCGCCCGTCTCGGCCTCCCAAAGTGCTGGGATTACAGGCGTGAGCCACCGCGCCCGGCTGACTCAATTTCTTTTACCTGTATTTCAGCACTCGTCCTTTATCATCCTGAAGTGAAATGTATAGTTAATGCAAACAACCAACACACAAATTTTTAAAAACCATTTGGGTCAAAATACTGACCCAATGAATAAAAAGATTAATTTATTCTCTGGTAATGTGTATTTCAATGGGTTATTATGCTGGCATAACCACACTAGAAAATGTGAGGAAGCAGTTCCATGGATAGGGCCACTGCATGGACGGATTAGCGGTGATGTACACCTACAGGTGTGCGGCTATTAAAGACAATAGTTAACAATTTGGTAAAGTTCCAAACAAAGTACAATCTTTCATTGATTGTCACAGTACTTTCATTTCTGGAAAATTCAGTATATTTTACAACTATGCGAAAAGACTTGTACTCATATCCAAAAAAAGATTTAGATTCTAGGTTCAGATAATTTTATATTTTTCGCCCACATGAATTCCAGCAGGATAGTCAAAGATCGTGAGAGGAGGTGCACATCCATCTTATAATCACATAGGATTGCTGTGTAAAATGCAAACAGGTGTATTCCTAGCCACTGTGTACAAGCATCCTGTAATGCTTCTCAGTCATTGAAACAACCAAAAATCCAGCAGTACCTTTCTGGAACACTCCTTTTGGGGACCCATTAGTTTAGACGATAAACTCCTTAAGCTCCTCCTGCATGGCGGGCAGGAATCATATTTGCCTCATCTACTATACAAGCCTCAACATCCAGCACATCATTGTCGCAGTGCATGGCAAATATTTAAAGAAGGAATAAACGAATGAGTGAATGGAAAGGAATACGCAGAAACAGGAAAACACATTCATCCATTCAATTGATTGATTAACTGGAGACAGAGTCTCACTCTGTCACCCAAGCTAGAGGGCAGTGGCACGATCTCAGCTCACTGCAATGTCTGTTTCCCAGGTTCAAGTGATTCTCCTGCCTCAGGCTCCTGAGGAGCTGGTACCACAGACACGCGCTACCACGCCTGGCTATTTTTTTGTGTTTTTAGTAGAGATGGGTTTTCACCATGTTGGCCAGGCTGTTCTCAAACTCCTGGCCTCAAGTGATCCACCCACCTCAGACTCCCAGAGTCCTGGGATTACAGGTGTGAGCCACCATGCCTGGCCCATCTATTCAATGTATAAATGTTTACTGAGCAACTAGTATATGCTACCTGCTGTTCTAGAACCTAGGAATACAGCAATGAATGAGGGAAATTCCTTTTCTAATGAGCACGCTCTCTCTCTCTCTCTCTCTCTCTCTCTCTCTCTCTCTCTCTCTCTCTCTCTCTCGCTCTCTCTCTCTCTCTCTGGAACTGCTTTGTGATTGCAGTATGACATCTGGTTTTCCTATACAGGTACAAGGTGGCTGTGCTTGAGACATGCCAAGTTTTTTTTAACTCAGAATACTTACCATATAAATAGAGCAATAGAGTATGATAGACAAAGCTGGCTAGGAAATAAAAAGCAGTGGAAGGAATTCAGTTTGATGACAAAGAAGTGTGAATTGCCCTTAAGAAACAAACAATAGAATAAAATGAGAGCCTGAAAATAAATAACTTGGTTATTTATAGATTTCTTGTGTCTGTCAATACAGCATCACAGACCAAAACATTTAAATTCAGGGGTTTTGTTGTTGCTGCTGTTCTTTTCATAAATATGGCCATATTAGAAAAACTTTACATGGCGTTTTTCTCTTATGCAATCTTTTTTATGTAGCAGTTTCCTGGGAAATGTTATGTCAGCTTTAATACAGGCCTGAATTTAACTGGCAAATAGTGACACAAATTGTCATGATGGAAAAGTAACATGTTGGGGGTTTTAATAACCACTGAAATACTGATAGCCATTTTCTTTTTTTTTTAACTTCTACGTTATTTAGGGACCTATTTTGCAGACATAACCTTAAACTAAAATATCCCGTGTCCATTGAGAAGCCTACCCCCACAAAAATAAATAAATAGATGTGGGAATGATATTTGGAGTTTGTGAGTAATGTTTGTTTTGTTTTTTGTTTGTTTGTTTGTTTTGACACAGGGTCTCCTTCTGTCACCCAGGCTAGAGTGCAGTGGCGCCATCTCGGCTCACTGCAACCTCTGCCTCCCAGGTTCAAGTGATTCTCCCACCTCAGCCTCCAGAGTAGCTGGGACTACAGGTGTGTGCCACCATGCCCGGCTAATTTTTTTTTATTTTTAGCAGGGATGAGATTTTATCATGTTGGCCAGGCTCGTCTTGAATTCCTGACCTAAAGTGATCCACCCACCTTGGCCTCCCAAAGTGTTAGGATTACCAGCATGAACCACCACACCCAGCCTGAAGCTTATAAGTAACATTCTGTTTTGTTTTTTTTTTTCTTTTTCATACTTTAAGTTCTGGGGTACACGTGCAGAACATGCAGGTTTGTTGCATAGGTATACATATGCCATGGTGGCTTGCTGCACCCATCAACCTGTGATCTACATTAGGTATTTCTCCTAATGCTGTCCCTCCTCTAGCCCCCCACCCCCCAGCAGTCCCCAGTGTGAGATGTTCTTAAACTGGCATGTTTCTTGGCCACATCTCTTGAATTTTAATTATTGTACTTTGAATTATTTTGATGTTAAGATTAACTTTTATGCTTATGCTTATTGCTGTCGTGAGTGGTACTAAAGAGTCCTGGGTTGTAAATTGAGCCACGAGTGCAAAGAGGAAATTAAACTATTCTATATTCAAATTAAGCCATAAACATAGGAACTGGACTCTATACTGGGGAGGGCGGGTAAGAACAGTACAGGAGCATAGGGTGATCCAGCGTCACACAGAGCAGGTGCTCAGGAAAGACATCAATAAACTGCCGATGAATCAACATTGTAAGAACAGGGGAATGAACTTTGAAGTTTCTTTGACATCAGTTATTCCAACAACCTCAGAAATAGGTGCTGCCTCCTCTCCTATATAAAGGAGGAAACTGAGGCACAAAGAGTTCAGTTTAGGTTTATTTTAAGAGACAGAGTCTCACTCTGTTGCCTAGGCTGGAGTGCAGTAGAGCAATAATTACAGCTTACTGCAGCCTCAAACTCCTGGGCTCAAGCGATCCTCTTGCCTCAGCCTCCTGAGTAGCTGGGACTACATGTGTGCACCACTATACCTGGCTAATTTTGTTTTTTGTAGGGATGGAATCTCACTTTGTTGCCCGGGCTGATCTTAAATCCTGGCTTCAAGGGATCCTCAGGCCTCAGCCTCACAAAGTGCTGGGATTACAGGCATGCACCACTGCACCCAGCCTTATTTTGTTGTTAAGGCAATATTTATGCTGTGTTTCTAATAATTCACTTATCACTCACAAGAGTCCTGTGAGGCAGACCTATTGTTTTTATTTCACAGAGAAGAAAACTGAGGCACAGAACTTTAAGTGGCAGCTTTGATCACGGGGCTAAGATATGGTGGCCACACATAGTCATGAGTGAGGAGAGCAGGCTCCATAACTTGTCCTCTTAGACGACTTGCTGGCTGTATATTCCCCTGCATCTGGGGTGTCAGATTATGCACCTGCTGAATACACAGCCAGCAAGGAGCAGAACAGGACTGTCTGATTTCAAAATCTATGTCCTTTCCCCTATCCTTAGCTGCAAAACCAGTGATATTCCCTACTCACTGTGGGAAGAAGCATGAATGCCTTCCTAATCATCAAAGCCAAGAGGTTTTGTCCACAATTCAAATTCCTGCTGACCTTTCTTTTCTGTTCATTGTTCATCCCTCCTTCATCTCATTGTGGTTTTTTTCCTGCCTCCTACTTCTCTGAGCATGACCTCTCATTCTTCTCTGACTTTTCCCCCATCTACTAAATGTGTGTGTTCCCTTAAGTTTTATCTTAAACTCTCTTTATTCTTTTATCTGCTTGGAGCATCTGTGTCTTAGCATTCTCCTCTACTTCCCGGGCTCATCCATTACCTTTATGTAGCCATCCTAAAGTAGACTTTTCAAAAATTCCACCTGTAATCCCAGCAACTGGGGAGGCTGAGGTGGAAGGATCGCTTGAGCCCAGGAGTCCAAGACCAGCTGGCAACTTAATGAAGCCCTGTCTCTACAAAAAATTAAAAAAAAAAAAAAAATAGCTGTGCATGATGGTGCATGCTTGAAGTCCCAGCAACTTGGGAGGCTGAGGCTGGAGAATCGCTTGAATCCAGGAGGTGGAGGTTGCAGTGAGCCAAGATCGCACCACTGCACTCCAGCCTGGGCAACAAAGCAAGACTCTATCTCAAAAAAAAAAAAAAGAAAGAAAGAAAAAACAATTCCAGTCATATAAGTCCAATTGCTTATCATACATTTCTCCACGGTTGTTATATTACTGTTATCCTGTCTAAGGTAAAATTCTTTTTTTTTTTTTTTTTCGAAACATAGTCTTGCTCTATTGCTCCGGCTGGAGTGCAAGTGGCATGATCTCAGCTCACTGAAACTTCCACCTTCCGGGTCAAGTGATTCTCCCATCTCAGCCTCCTGAATAGCGGGGATTACAGGTGCATGCCATCATGCCTGGCAAATTTTTGTATTTTTAGTAGAGATGGGGTTTCACTACCTAGGCCAGGCTGGTCTTGAACTCCTGACCTCAAGCAATCTGCCCGCCTCTACCTCCCAAAGTGCTGGGATTACAGGCGTGAGCCACCACACCCAGCCTAAGGTAGCATTCTTAATTGCTGTTTCCCAAAACCAACCCCTGTTTCTAACTTCCATATTATTACTGCTACACATTTTTTTATATTTTTTATATTTTGTAGGGATGAGGTTTTCCCATGTCGCCCAGGCTGATCTCAAGCTCCTGGGCTCAAGCAATCCTCCTGCCTCAGCTTCCCAATGGGTAGCAGATATAAGACAATTTGTTTAACAATTAACACTCAGTTTATCTAGCAGTGGTTCACCTAATGATTGAAGCCTCTTTCGAGTGTTTTTGTATACATGCATACATCCTATTCTTTTCAGCCATATTGTTTTTCTTGTTAAGGACTTCTTAAACATGCTTATTAAAACATTTTCAACTTAATTTGTATTTCTAAAAAGTCATGATGAATTTTGTTTCAGTTATAGCTATTAAGGGTTTTCTAAAGATCCTCTCTTCAAAATGTTTTGTTAGGAGCAATAGATATTTGTAAAATTTATGAAAATTTGACTAGTTTTTTCTAATTCTTTACATTGTGTGATTACTGTTTCCTCCTTGTTTTTTTCCCCCAAGTGATTATATTAGTATTCTATTTTTGTCATTTTAGAGAATGGACACAGAAGTCACCATAGGTGAATTGACTTAAAATCTTTTAAGTATAAGAAAAATAGCAAAAATGATAACCTGCGAAGTGGGTGATCAATTTTTTAAGTCCATAACGTGTTAAAAGTCCATAACAAATATTGCCATAGAAAATGCATGTAGAGGCTGGGCGCCGTGGCTCACGCCTGTAATTCCAGCACTTCGGGAGGTCAGGAATTTGAGACCAGCCTGGCCAACATGGTGAAAACCCGTCTCTACCAAAAATGTACAAAAATGGTGGCACATGCCTGTAGTCCCAGCTACTTGGGAGGCTGAGGAGAGAGAATCACTTGAACCCGGCAGGTGGAGGTTGCAGTGAGCTGAGATCGCTGACACTGCACTCCAGCGTGGGCGACAGAGTGAAACTCTGTTTAAAAAAAAACAGAAAAACAAAAGAAGGAAAAGGAAATGCAAGTAGAATGTTAGACCAGGTCTTCATTAAGTGACTTCATTAACTCTGGGCTAATTGGCTCTACCTGTGAGCAAAAGCTGATTGTCTGTGTTGAAGACAGTTTATCCACCTGTCTCTCCTCTCTGTCATAGTCACATGTTGCCTCTCCCCCATCTTCTCTGCTCACACATCTCAGAAGCTCCTAACCAGCTTTTCTTCCCATGAACAGTAAAATAGGTTTCCTAAATAAAGATTTTGACATCCCAGCCCCTTGTGTTAAAATCTGGGATGGCTCATTATTTACAAGATCAATTTCAAAAGTATTAGCCTGGCGTTCCAGGCTCTCAACAGGATGGATGGCTCAGGCTTGGCTTTTCAGACATAACACCTATGGTTTCTGTACAAGCACCAAGCAGCACGTCTACTCACTTGAGGATGTCTTGTACCCAGTCACCCCCGCTTTCTTCCTGGTTGAAATCCTGTCGCCCCATGGGGCCTTCTCTGTTCCCCATGGAAGCTTCATCCTCTGATCCTCAGTGCCATATGGTATTTGTTGTGCTGGTTATTTCTTGACATGTCTGTCTTATGCTTTCAAAGAGTGTGCACTCTCTGAAGGTTCAGCATGAAACTACCAGTACCTTCCATTCCCTTCAGTCTTCTATTCTAGTAAGCTCAAAGCTAGCAGTTCAAAGCTAGTATTTAATAGCATGTTTAAAATATGTATATGACTAGACAATGTGGCCAAAGGAAGTGTCTGAGCCAGAGGGTCTGAATTCAGGTCTTTGTCTAACATACTCATTATAGCTGTGTGACACTTGGTATGGCACCTAACCTCTCTGGAAATCAGTTCTTTTTTTTTTTTCTTTAAATAGTAAGGATAGTTATACCAATCAAATAGGTTTGGTTTAAAAACAGATCATTTTGGATAAGTGCATTCTATATCATAAACTGCTTTAAAAATGTTAATACTGGCAATATTTTTATTAATGCTGTTGCGAATAGTAGGGTCTTGAAGGCAGTTTAATTTTTTTTTTTTTTTTTTAGATGATGTTTTGCTCGTTGCCTAGGCTGGAGTACAATGGCACAATCTAAGCTCACTGAAACCTCCGCCTCCCGGGTTCAAGTGATTCTCCAGCCTTGCCTCCTGAGTAGTTGGGATTACAGGCGCCTGCTACCACACCCAGTTGATTTTGTATTTTCAGTGGAGATGGGGTTTTGCCACTTTGGCCAGGCTGGTCTTGAACTCCTGACCTCAGGTGATCAGGTGATCCACCCACCTCAGCCTCTCAAAGTGCTGGGATTACAGGCATGAGCCGCGGTGCCTGCCTTCTACATGCGTTTTCTATAGCAATATTTGTTATGGATTTTTAACTAATTTTTTTTTTTTTTCTGGGAGATAGAGTCTTGCTCTGTCACCCAGGCTGGAGTGCAGTGGCAAGATCTCGGCTCATTGTAACTTCCGTCTTCCGGGTTCTAGCAATTCTCCAGCCTCAGCCTCCTGAGTAGCTGGGATTACAGGCACGCAACACCACGCCTGGCTAATTTTTGTGGTTTCAATAGAGATGGGTTTTACCATGTTAGCCAGGCTGGTCTCGAACTCCTGACCTCAAGTGATCCACCCACCTTGGCCTCCCAAAGTGCTGAGATTACAGGCATGAGCCACTTCGCCCAGCCAAGGCAGTTTAATTTTTTTCTTCTGGTCTTGTCTTCTCTTTCTTTCTACATTTCTCACCCTCTTCTTTCATCTCCTGCCTGTTCTACATCTGTTACCTCTGACGTGCATTTGTTGCCACCGTTTCTTTTGTGTGTATCAATTTACTTTCCTCTCCTTGCTTTAGATATCTTTCATCTTCATTCCCAATCTTCCTCTTTCTGCCAAAATGTCATTTTCCATGCGATATTTCTTCCTTCATTATTCTTTAGCTTACTTTCTTGTTAGTATGTATAATAGGGTTTAAAAGTGATCGGAGATTAAAGAATTATCATAAAATCCAGAAGTCCATACAATTTCTCTTGCACTTAGGATAGCATTTTTTTCAAGTGCTGTTTTATTTGTAGGCACAGAATTTTGGAATGTTAGTAGTAGAAAGAGGTGTATAAATTAATCTAATCCAATCTACTTGGGTTAAGGATGAAAGCAGATGTCTAGAGAAGTTAAGGCACTTGTCTTGGACCTCAGAGTTAATTACTGACTGAGTTGATAGTTAAGACCATTTCCTGAGTTCAACTTACTCTTGTCTCATTTTTTGCTAACCACTGTATTGTGTTTCCTGCCCCTGAGTTTGGTTAAGGGCACCATCTGGGAGTTAGTTTGTTTTCAGCATGCAATCAAGCTGATTGGCTTTGAACGAGTTATTTACCCCTCTGGCCTTGACATTCTCATCAGAATATGAGAGGACAATATAGAGATTCTTTAAGGCCTCTTTTTAATTTTCAACCTTTCTTCATCCATATTTGACAGTTATTTGGTGACGGCCAATTATTTACAAATAAAAGCGATTTGGACTCTTACATTCAGTTTGCCTTCATGTTTTATTCCAAATGCCACCCAAGTTTGGGCTTCTTTTGGGCATTACTGTATTTTAATCTATACAACCTCATAAGCTTCTCCAGGATTTGTTTAAATTATTTCTAATTAAAACATGATGGCTTTCTGGGCAGAAATCCTGTCCTTGTACTACAAGGATGTTTGGCAAGGTTATTGTTATTTTTTAAGAGGCTGAAGGAAAATTAAATATTTTGCTGAAATATTTTCTCTGGATTATAACGTTGGGACAGAATAGTGCAACATGCTTAGTGTATACTACCTGAATGTTGAAAAAGAGAGCCTCCATTATTCCTTATTTGGAGAACAGTATAGTATTAACCATTCATTGATTTCAGTGAATACTTTCTCACACAAATTATTCACAATGTGAAGGAAACTCAGATCAAGAAAGAAAAGAAATGTATAGAACTATCTTTGTTGAGGATGTAAGAATCTGTCAATTTGGCCTGTGGAGGGTAGGAATTCCAGGAAGTTTCTGAGCCCTCTCACTTCTCACAAACACTCACATTCCCTTCAAATTCATAGAAAACCATTCTACCCATTTAAATAAACAAGAAATAAGTCTTGCTTATTTCATTCTGGTTCATTAGGGTTCTTTTCCCATCTACCTGGCTCACTGGAATGTTGGCTGGTTCTACCTTTCAAATGTAGGAGCCTTTCCACATCTAGGTCTGGGTCATGTAAATAAACAGAAACTTGAATGAAATTCTCGCTGAGGGCGGTGGCTCACGCCTGTAATCCCAGCACTTTGGGAGGCCGAGGCGGGCGGATCACGAGGTCAGGAATTCGAGACCATCCTGGCTAACACGGTGAAACCCCGTCTCTACTAAAAATACAAAAAATTAGCCGGGCGTGGTGGCGGGCACCTGTAATCCTAGCTCCTCAGGAGGCTGAGGCAGGAGAATGGTACGAACCCGGGAGGCGGAGCTTGCAGTAAGCCAAGATCGCGCCACTGCACTCCAGCCTGGGCGACAGAGTGAGACTCCGTCTCAAAAAAAAAAAAAAAAAAATTATCCTGGCCCAGCACTTTCTTTGGTTTATTTTGCTTTTAATAATCAATTAATATAGTCCATCGAAGACTGATTTTGGGCTGGGCAGAGTGGCTCACGCCTGTAATCCCAGCACTTTGGGAGGCTGAGGTGGGTGAATCACTTAAGGTCAGGAGTTCAAGACCAGCCTGGCCAACATGGTGAAACCCCGTCTCTAAAAATATAAAAATTAGCCGGAAATCACTTGAACTCGGGAGGCAGAGGTTGCAGCGAGCGGACATTGTGCCACCGCACACTCCAGCCTGGGCAACAAAGCGAGACTCCGTCTCAAAAAAAAAAAGCTGATTTTGGCTGTTTATGGAATTTTCAGTCAGTTTGCCAGAGCATCATTTCCTGAAGTGCTTACAAATAGTCATTTTTTGTCTTTTGGTGTCTGAGAGCCTATTTTAAGAGCATTGCCAAGCGTGGGAAACTAGTATCACTATATTCCAGCTGTGGAAACTGTATCACTGTCATAATGCACTTGAACTTCCTATGAAAGGATTTCTTAGCGGACATGCTGAGAATTTACTTCGAGGTGTGTACGAAACATGTACTACGATGACGATGAGCCTTCTGAAGTGGTAAGAAACATATACCCATTGACATCTGACATTTTTCATCATTTTTTTAACCATTTCCAAGTTTGTTTTTAAACTTTCCACTAAAGTGCTTGTTGTCACTAACAGTAATATAAAACAAATAGTATTTTTTTTTTTTCCCTTAGGGACTAGCACAAATGTTGAAATACTTTGGGACAAAGTTTGAAATGAACACATTTTATAATTATATTATTTTGTTATATGCGGAATTATTTTTTGTGCTTGAACTTGGATTTTAAATAGTTTTCAATATCTTCACACGTCTTCTGAAAAGGTATTTTTAAAAGGTTTTATAAGTGTAACTATAGACAGTTTACATTCTTTTTTAAAAAACTTGATTTCCTAGTGAAATTATATCTGTTAAATATAGTTAAAAGTAATTGAATTGAGAATTGTATATGTTATAAAACTTTGGATGATTTGTAAATACTTAGTAAACTGTTAGTGAAACCTCACTGTAAGAAATGTTTCTCTTAAATGTTTAAAAAAGTATTTAAATTAAGAGTATATAACTAATTAGGATTCTGTATTGTTCTCAAGACATAAAATTATGTAAAAATTCACATTTATCAATACACATAGCAAAACAGACAGTAAATGTAGTCACCTGTTCCTTGTATGCAAATAAAAGATGAAGCTAAACTTTAAGAGTTAGGGATACATTTTTGAAATTGTAGAAAGCTATATTAAACCATATACTTCTTTGAAATAGTATATAATTCAATTCAAATTTAATAATTATGTTTCTGCTTCCTTAATATCTTATTGAATTGTGATGTAATTTAATTTGATTTTAGAAAGACTTAAGAATTCTAAGTTTGACTGTTAAGAAACGAACCTATGTTAAAGAATATATTTTGGCCGTCTGGTCATATTCTACTGAAAACGAAATTCCCTTTTTAGGTGCGTTTGGGGGTACAGTAGAATGAGATTATTTCACTTTTTGTCATATGGCCAGGAGGAAAGAAATTTCTTGAAAAGCAACTGAGCTCTCTCCTGTAAACACAGCAAGTTGAAATCGCACAGCTCCTAATTTGGTGTCTTTATTTCAATCTTTGGAGTAAGATTATGAACAATAGCTATAATTCCATTCTGAGAGTTAAAAGTTTTCATTGTAAATTTCAAAATGGTCATTTCTACTAATATGGGCATTATTTTTCCAAAGACCCACTTCTGTCTCTTGTTTTTCGCCCTCGGGTCACTGGCAATATGGAAAAAAACTTTCAAAAGAGTAGGATATGACTCCATTCCAGTGTTCCCAGGAACTGAAAGTGATTGCAAAATTATAAGCTTTCAGAATAACACAGAGAAAACTTCTACGAAACAAGTAATGCAGAAATGCATCCAATATTTAGGCCTTGCTCTCTATTTTTATTGCCTGCATCACATGTGGCTCATACAGAATTTTCAAACTATTTAAGAGTTGCATTTAAGCATATGCTACCAAAAAGGAAAAAAGTATTTTGAGGAATGGTGTTAACATTTTAGGGAAAGCATTCCTGAAAATGAGTTCCAGGTTTTGTTATTTTTTTAATAAAAGAATGTAAATGTATACAGAAATTATTTCCTAGAATGTACTTGAAGGAGTATTTTAGGAATACAAACATTCATTAATTAACCCTCATGTGTTTAAAATATACACCTGTTATATATGATTATGCACAAAAGCCAGTTTTTCATGAATAATTTGTGTCTTTTTTACATAATTTCAGAAACCATATGCTCTATAATGAAGAAAAAATATTTAAAGTATGTAATCATGTTAAACAGTTACAGCATGAGTCACTCTATTTAAAAAAAAAGAGAGAGAACCAGTCTGCACGTGACAACAAGAACTTAAAGGATCTGGTGTTCATTTGAAATGTACTGGTAATTTAACATCACTGTAAATTCATTAACTTAGGTCATTCTGGTTATTGAGATCAAATTTGAAATTTTTCTTTTGTTAAGTATTCAAATGTTTAAAAGCCCTGTAAACCAGATCAGAGTATTAGGACATAAATTTGAGTGTGTTTATTCCTTAAAATGAGGTCTACATAACTGTTTTAAAAATTGCCTCTGGTAATTCTTCTAAGTCTTACAGTAAAATTTGCCAGAGGCGTACTATTTAAATTACAATTAAGCTATCAAATTTAAAAATTACTTTTTCATTTCTTTTAGTTCTGTTTTTCTCCCCGTGAATCAAATATTGTTTGTGCTACTAATAATTTTTTGTGGATTTGTCATTATTTTTGAATATTTAAAATATCCTGTACTTTGCTGTAGTATAGGTGGCAGTAGTCTAAACCTTGATCTTTTTAATGCATTCACATCAGGATTTTTATTTTTGTGGGAAGGTAAAAATCATTATTTTCCCCTAAGGTCAGTGATGTGGTCTTATTTTTAAGAAGAAACATGCATCAATAAGAAACATAAAAATAGGCTGCCTTTGAAAGGACTACTTTATTTAAGAAGATATATTTCCTTATTGTGTCTTGTTAGAGGGTGGAACTGGGCCATTAGTGGACAAAAGGGATAAGAGGGTCGAGCATGGGGTTTCACACCTGTAATCCCAGCACTTTGGGAGGCCCAGGCAGGCAGATCACCTGAGATCAGGAGTTCAAGACCAGCCTGGCCAACATGATGAAACCCTGTCTCTACTAAAAATACAAAAATTAGCCAGGCGTGGTGGCACATACCTGTAGTCCCAGCTACTCAGGAGGCTGAGGCAGGAGAATCACTTGAACCTGGGAGGCAGAGGTTGCAGAGAGCCGAGATCATGCCATTGCACTCCACCCTTGGCAACAGAGCAAGACTCTGTCTCAAAAAATCAAAATAAAAAGGGACAAGATATATCTCTTTTCTGTTCAGAAAATAATAAGTGAGCCCACTGATAAATGACCTGCCAACCTCCCAGTTCTGGAAGTCTTTTGTCCTGCTTTTGGCATGCACTAGTCAACACTGTCCAATAGAAGTTTCTCTGATAATGGCAATGTTTATATCTGCACTGTCCAATATGGTTGCCACTAGCCCTGCCTGGTTATTGAGCACTTGAAATGTGGCAACTAAACAATTGAATATTGAGTTACATTTAAATAGCCACACTTGTGGCTTCTACTAGACTCCTTTCTGTACAAAATGTGCTCCCTGCACCAGGAGTGCCGGCATTACCGTGGAGCTTGTTAGGAATGCAGTCTCAGAAACCACATCTTTTTTCATTTGTTTTTTTGAGGTAGAGTCTTGCTCTGTCACCCAGGCTAGAGTACAGGGGCACTATCTGGGTAGGCTCACTGCAGCTTCCGCCTCCTGGATTCAAGTGGTTCTCTTGCCTCAGCCTCCCCAGTAGCTGGAACCACAGACATGCACCACCATGCCCGGCTAATTGTTTTGTATTTTTAGTAGAGACAGGGTTTCGCCATGTTGGCCAGGCTGGTCTCGAACTCCTAGACTTAAGTGATCCTCCCACCTTGGCCTTTCAAAGTGCTGGGATTACTGGCATGAGCCATTGCACCTGGCCAGAACCCACATCTTAACAAGAACCCCAGGTGAATTAATAAACTCATTACCATTTAGAAGTCCTCATAGGGCTGGGGAGCAGCCTTGTAGAGCTCATGCTTACTTAAAATTTCCATCATTCTTTAGGCATTAAAAAAGTAATCCAAGCTTACATATCATAATTTTTAAAGTACTCTTTATAATTAAACTTTCTCCCATTGTTGGGCATTTAGGTTGTTTTACACATACACGCAGGCACATATTTGTATAGATACACACATATGTGTATATATTTCAACATCTATATCTCGATATGTAAATATAGATAGGTACACATGTATATGTCACATGGTGAACATTCTCTTACCTAAATATTTTACGTGCATCTTTTTCTTTCACAAAGATTCCAGAAAAAGATAATTACTGAGTATTTACTTTTAAAAGAGTAATATGTATTCATACACTGCTTTTCAGAAAGGTTATACTAAATTTAGACTTCCAACAGCCAGCAATGTTTGAGTTCCACTGTATTACTATTATTTAAAAATAGTTATTTGATAGACAAAAATATTATCTCATTCTTAAACATGTGCATATTTCTGATTACTGTTAAGTTTACTGTTTTTATTTTGTTTTTTTTAATTATACTTTAAGTTTTAGGGTACATGTACACAACGTGCAGGTTTGTTACATATGTATACATGTGCCATGTTGGTGTGCTGCACCCATTAACTTGTCATTTAACATTAGGTATATCTCCTAATGCTATCCCTCCCCCCTTTCCCCGACCCCACAACGGGCCCCGGTGTGTGATGTTCCCCTTCCTGTGTCCATGTGTTCTCATTGTTCAATTCCCACCTATGAGTGAGAACATGTGGTGTTTGGTTTTTTTGTCCTTGCGATAGTTTGCTGAGAATGATGGTTTCCAGCTTCATCCATGTCCCTACAAAGGACATGAACTTTTTTATGGCTGCATAGTATTCTATGGTGTATATGTGCCACATTTTCTTAATCCAGTCTATCATTGTTGGACATTTGGGTTGGTTCCAAGTCTTTGCTATTGTGAATAGTGCCACAATAAACATACATGTGCATGTGTCTTTATAGCAGCATGATTTATAATCCTTTGGGTATATACCCAGTAATGGGATGGCTGGGTCAAATGGTATTTCTAGTTCTAGATCCCTGAGGAATCACCACGCTGACTTCCATAATGGTTGAACTAGTTTACAGTCCCACCAACAGTGTAAAAGTGTTCCTATTTCTCCACATCCTCTCCAGCACTTGTTGTTTCCTGACTTTTTAATGATCCTCATTCTAACTGGTGTGAGATGGTATCTCATTGTGGTTTTGATTTGCATTTCTCTGATGGCCAGTGATGATGAGCATTTTTTCATGTGTCTTTTGCCTGCATAAATGTCTTCTTTTGAGAAGTGTCTGTTCATATCCTTCGCCCACTTGTTGATGGGGTTGTTTGTTTTTTTCTTGTAAATTTGTTTGAGTTCTTTGTAGATTCTGGATATTAGACCTTTGTCAGATGAGTAGATTGCAAAAATTTTCTCCCATTCTGTAGGTTGCCTGTTCACTCTGATGGTAGTTTCTTTTGCTGTGCAGAAGGTCTTTAGTTGAACTGGATCCCATTTGTCAATTTTGGCTTTTGTTGCCATTGCTTTTGGTGTTTTAGACATGAAGTCCTTGCCCATGCCTATGTCCTGAATGGTATTGCCTAGGTTTTCTTCTAGGGTTTTTATGGTTTTAGGTCTAACATGTAAGTTTTTAATCCATCTTGAATTAGTTTTTGTATAAGGTATAAGGAAGGGGTCCAGTTTCATTTTTACTTTTATTTTGAGATGGAGTTTCACTGTTGTCACCCAGGCTAGAGTGCAACGGAGTATCTCGGCTCACTGCAACCTCTGCCTCCCAGGTTCAAGTGATTCTCCTGCTTCAGCCTACCAAGTAACTGGGATTACAGATGTCCGCCACTATGCCTGGCTAATTTTTGTATTTTTAGTAGAGACAGGGTTTCACCATGTTGACCAGGCTGGCCTTGAACTTCTGACCTCAGGTCATCCACCCGCCTTCGCCTCCCAAAGTGCTGGGATTACAGATATGAGCCACTGTGCCTAGCGCTGTTTTCATATTTTTAAGCCATATTTCCTTCTTCCTCATTTATGTGTCCTTGGATAAGTTATTTAAACTATCTGCACTTTACTGTCTTCATCTTAAGTTGCTTTGTAAGGTCGCTGAAGACCAAATGAGTTAGTATATTTCACATACTGGGAACAGCAGGTGCTGAATAAATTCTTAGCTACTATTACTCTTAGTCCTTGGTATGACTTTTGTCCACTTTCTCAGTTGAGTAGCTGAGACTACAAGTGTGAGTCACCACACCCAGCTTATTTTTTTTATTTTATTTTTTGTAGGAATGGAGTCTCACTATGTTGCCCAGGCAGGTCTGAAACTCGTGGCCTCAAGCGATTCTCCCACCATGGCCTCCCACAGTGCTAGGATTACAGGTGTGAGCCACAGCACCCAGCCCCATATTTCCCTAAAGACTAGCAGAACTCACCTCAGGCTGCACTGTCAGGAGGTTGTAAAGAAGCCTCTTTTTGAGGGTTCCTATTATCTGTGTTAGAGGCAGAAACTTACCCCTCTCCTTTCATTCATTCACTCAGCAGGGATTTATTAAACCTTTATGAAATCCAGGCACTGCTTTCTGCTGCTCTGAACTCAATGCTGATTTGTTATTGATTCTACTGCTATATTTTGGTCTCCCAAACAAGGTAGGACAGCTTTCCTTAAGGGCCTTCAACCCACCATGATGATAGCAGCTATTATTTATTGAATATTTATGGTAAGGCATTATATTAAGTGATGTACATATATTATTCCAAACAATGTTTTTATATGCAAAATTTACAGATGAGGAATTCGAGGCTTAATGAGTTTGAAAAATGTGCCCAAGATCACATAGTTCATAAGAGGTAGAACCAGAATTCAAGCTTGGGCCAGCCAACTGCAAAATCCAAGCCTCTTCATTGCTTTACTCTGTTCCTCCCATGAAGTCACCCTCACAATTTCTCATTTGTTCTCTCAAGCCTTTGAGGTTAGCCTAGATGTTCCTTCAGATTTTTCATTAGTATTTTTTTGATTTATATTTAGTTAATGCATAAGATGTTAGAATTATTAATGCAGTTGCTATGTGATTTGCTTTGGGGGAAGTATTTATCCAGTAGATCTCTACTGAAGACATTGGTGCTTGTACCGGTTCTCTCTCCAAGACAATACTGATTTCCACACTTCCAAAACAAAGTTAAGATGTAAAAACAGAGAATACAGTGTGGGAGGAAATCTTGAAGACTTGTGTAGAGGAATAGAAGCAAATGTAAACAAAATAAATAAATTAGCCTCCCTCTTTCACACTCCCATATTGCATTGTAACACTGTACTGATTTAGAGAAAAAATATTATAATTAACAGCATATCAGGGATAGATAGAATGGTAGAGGAAGAAGAAGCTATACAGTGATTAAAGACATAAAGTACTGTTTTGATTGAGGTGGAAAAGCCTGCAGAGATGATTCACAAAGCTATAACCAGAGCACTGGATGAGCAAGAAAAGATTTGAACATGAGGTGTTGCCTCTGAAGTTTCCAGAACAGGGAAGGCTTAGGAGAAAGTCAGTGGATGAAGAGATGCCAAGTAGACCAGAGGGAAAAATGGAATCACAAGATCACCTTTCAAAGGCCGAAGAGAGAGGGATTGATCCTGAATTAATAAGAAAGAGAGGTGTCCCCTGTGATGAGTATAAAGGGGAACAGGTGACCTGAGAGCTGAACCAGAGGCAATATCAAATTAGTCAAGGCAAGGCCGGGTACAGTGGCTCATGCCTATAATCCCAGCACTTTGGGAGGCTGAGGCAGGAGGATAGCTTGAGCCCAGAAGTTTAAGACCAGACTGGGCAGTATAGTGAGACCCTGTCTTTATTTTTTAAAAAATAGAAAATTTAAAAGAAATTAGTCAAGGCTAAGGTGGTGTAATCTGAATAATCTTTTGAAGTCCTTTGTCACCTAGATAGGCTTTTTGTATTCTCCACAGTAGTTCAACACTCTGCATGATGTATGTAGCATTTCATGTCCTGTGCAACAGCAGAATCACAATGTAGCACTAAATGCCACTTTCCTTATGCACACCCACTGTCCTTAATGTGTTACTTAGCATCAGCTCTATGCATAGGGTACAGCCTCCTTCCCAGTTTTCAGATAAAGAAACTCAGCCTTAGAACTGTAATGTAATTTGTCCAGTAGCCCCTAGACTCTCAGATTTAGTATTTGTCAGACTACCCCCTAAAGACAGGGTACTTTAGTAAAAGCAAAAGCCTGTGTCCCTAAGATTTAGCCTAAGGAGAAAGTTCTACTTTCTCTGTTTGTTAAAACTTGAAAATGCACACGGCAACATGGCAAGACCCCATCTCTACAAAAATTTAAAAAATTAGCCAAGAGTGGTGGCACACACCTGTGGTCCCAGCTACTCGGGAGGCAGGAAGATTGCTTGAGCCCAGGAGGTTGAGGCTACAGTGAGCCATGATCATACCACTGCACTCAGCCTGAGCAACAGAGCAAGACCCTGTCTCAAAAAATAAAAAATAATTGGGAGGTGAATGTGTCCAAGTGTCTTCTTCTCTTTTATTTTGTCCTATGACTTCTCCCTCCCAATCCTGCACCAATGCCATAGGGAAAAAGATACATGTATCTTTATTAAGATAAAGATAATCTCAATGTGCTAATGGGGATGAAGTCTGTTGTTAAATTCATCATTTTCTAAGTCTTCTGAGAGGTAGTATTTACTCTTTGGATTGAGCTTTCAGACCTATGCATTGGGAAAATGTCAGGCCATTTAAACTAGAAAAAGTAGCTTTTAATTGATGAAGACCTTTGTATTTATTTTCCCTGAGTAGCCTCTTGTTCCTTAAAACCGGGAAATAGAAGGCAATATTTGTCACAAAAATACTTCTAGCAAGCAATTGAAAATTTAATTTTTCTAGGACCCTTATTGGGGTTGTGCAGGAGCCCATTCTCTGAGTGACATCTCTGATAATCGTAGGCCTGAGCATGTTTATTCATACATCTGAAGCCCAGAGAGCAAATGCCTGAACAAATGGTATTGCCTGTGTCTACAGTTGAAGGATGGTTCAATGTTACCAGTTTGTTGATACGCTGAAAACCACCAGGAAATTGCCTCCAAATACCTTTGACATAGATTTGGACAACAGAAATATTTTTACATCAGTTGAGGTAACTGGATTTAATCACTGGATTAAAAACCACCTTTACTAACCACTATAGAGAACAGATGGAGGTTGCTCAAAAAACTAAAAATAAAGCTACCATATGATCTAGCAATCCAATTTCTGGATATATACCCAAAAGAAAGGGAATTAGTATTTGGGAGAGATATTTGCACTCCCATGTTTATTGCAGCACTATTCACAGTAGCCAGGATTTGGCAGCATCTTAAATGTCCATCAGCAGATGAATGGATAAAGAAAATGTGGTACATTTACACAGTGGAGTACTATTCAGCCATAAAAAATCAGTTTCTGTCCTTTGCAGCAATATGGATGAAACTTGAGGTCGTTATGTTAAATGAAATAAACTAGGCACAGAAAGACAAATTTCTCATGTTCTAGCTTCCACTTATTTGTGTGAAGCTAAAAATTAAAACAATTGAATTCATGGAGATAGAGAGTAGAAGCATGTACCAGAGACTGGGAAAGGTTGTGGTAGGGGCAGGCATTGGGGGACAAGGGGATGGTTAATGGGTACCAAAAAATAGTTAGAATGAATAACACCTAGTCTTTGGTAGCACAACAGGATGACTATAGCCAATAATTGTAAGAGTTAATGAAAGAGGAAAGAAACACAAAATGTGGCTGGACAGTTAAAGAGAGAATTATTTTAGATAAAATAAACTTGAGAGGGGCTTCTGGCCAATTTTGGTCAGGAGCACTTTCTCTTACAGGCTTAGAGTGGTTTTAGGGTGAGGAGGCTTATCACAAGCTTAGAATGTTTCTGTGTGAGGGAGAAGTTTTATGGTGGGGTTGGACTATCTCTGCCTAGAGGGGAGGTTATCTTGGGGCAGACATCTTTCCAGCTCGGAGGAGGGTTATCTTAAGGCTGGCATCTTCCCAGAGGGTTTATCTCAGGGCTAGCATGTCCCCGGTCAGGGAGGAGTTTGGAATGTTTCTGCTGGGAGATGTTATTTGGTTTATAGTCATGCTGACCTTAGCCATTAGGCTGATGCCCTTTGGATTTAGGCAGTTTTTGATTACGGTGAACTTTAGAATGAGCGGCTTGTCCAAGATGGCGATGTTCCTGCTCTGTCAATAATAATTTAATTGTAAATTTTAAAATAACTAAAAGAGCATAATTGAATTGTTTTTAACCCAAAGGATAAATACTTGAGGTAAGGGATATTCCATTTACCCTGAAGTGATTATTATATATTGCATGCCTGTATCAACATATCTCATGTACCACATAAATATATACACCTGCAAAAAGAAAACCAAAAACCACCCGTTCTAAGATACCAGTTTAAGTGTAAATAATTTTAATTAGTGGGTATGTGAGAAGGGGAGGAGATTTCTTGTACTACATAGATGGCTTCTAAAGTTAAACTCCTCCATTACGTTTATAGAAAGAAGAATTGGAGTAAGGAATGACTTGATACCAATATTACCAATATGTGTATTGACATCTTGTGAGCTATATAATATTATGTCTGGTGTATCCTGTAATACAGAGGTTGACAAAGTTTTTCTGTCAAGGGCCATGTAGTAAATATATTTGGCTTTGAGGCCATAAGATCTGTGTTGCAACCACTCAGTTCTCCATAAAAGCAGCCATGAACAATTCGTACAAGACTAAGTGTGGCCATGTTCCAATAAAATTGTATTTAGGGACACTGAAATTTGAATTTCATGTAATTTTCGCAACATGAGATGTTCTTCTTCTTTTGATTGATTTCAACTACTTAAAAATGTGGACATCATTCTTAGCTCAAGAACCATACAAAGAGGCAGTGGATCAACTTAGGCCCATGAGCTATAGTTGGCTGATCTCTGATATAGTCTGTGTGGTTAGAGCGGGGAAGGTATTTTTATACCAGCAAAAACGTTATGCTTTCTCCACAAGCCTGGTATAAAAATTGGGAATGCGCTACAGATGCCACTTGGTAGAAAGCTGTTTTATTAAGGTTTCTGAAAATTAGACTTGCCAACACAAACATTAACCTTCGCTCCCTTTATTCAGATGTTACATTTAAATTTTTACCCAGACCTGGGAACTGAGTAAAATTATAATTATGATAGACACAGGGCCCTTGAACTCTTTCTTTTGGCTGTTTTGAAAGGTCGTTGTCTTCATGTTAATTAGGAGCCAGGAACATTCTGCTTCAGCTGCTTGTTGGGAAGGCATTATCATTAGGGAAATGATCTAATCAAGAGTTTGCATGGGAGGTGGGGTGTGGGCCTGGAGGCTAGGAAACCTGAGAGGTTGAATTACAGGGACACGCAACTGATAATTATAATAAACTTCTCCCTAGACCTGAATGCACAGCTTGGAACCTGTCAGTTTTCACATTGGAATTATTATACTCAACCAATGACAGTGTATTTGGTGATATGTCAACATTTTCATTCTGAATGAGTGTTAATTGGGTATTTTAGTGCTTGAAATTATTTGTTACCAAAAACACTGACACAGCCTGACATTCTCTGCTTTTTATAATTCTGTAGCACCTATAAAATTTCTTTCTCTAGATTTAATTGCTTTATACAAAATATGTACGTCAATTAATCAGAGCTGTAATTATTAGACTCCACAGTTGGCCGGGCATGGTGGTTCATGCCTGTAATCTTAGAACTTTGGGAGGCTAAGGCAGGGGGATCACTTGAGCCCAGAAGTTGGAGACCAGCCTGAACAACATAGTGAGACCCTGTTTCTACAAATAATTTTTTGAAATTATACAGGAGTGGTGGTGTGCGTCTGTGATCCCAGCTACTCGGGAGGCCGAGGTGGGAGGATCGGTTCAGCCCAGAAGGCCAAGGCTGGAGTGAGCTATGATGGCACCACTGCACTCCAGTCTGGGGAAACCCTGTCTCAAAAAATAGAAAATAGACTCCACGGTGGCCTGACGGTTAAGTATGCCTAAATCAGCCATTCACAGGTCAGGGGGTTCTGAAAGGGGCTCTTCAGAATTATAAACTTCAATTTTAAAACCAAAAATTACCTCCCTTCCTCTTTCTGCTCCCAACTCCTTAGAACAAATTTGAGTTGAGTGCCTGCCAGCCCAGGGCTGTTCTAGGTGCTGGGGGCCAACAGCACAGACCAGTGTTCCAAAGCCAGGAACCCGGGCTTTCTTCCAGCAGACTTTTATTGTAATGCATCCATTTGCTTACTAGAGAGAATTTCTTCTGTGTGTCAGTTTTTTATTGTAAATTTTGAGGCTTACTCTTGAGTTCTCCACCTGAAATCAAATTTGGCTTTGTCTTTTCTTAAAAATTATTTTATTGTGGCAAAACATACATAATATAAAATTTGCCATTTTAACCACTTCTATTTATTTTTATTTATTTATTTTTTGTTTGTTTTGAGACAGGGGTCTCACTGTCATCCAGGCTGGAATGCAGCGGTGTGATCTTGGCTCACTGCAACCTCTGCCTCCCAGGTTCAAGCGATTCTCGTGCCTCAGGCTCCCTAGTAGCTAGGACAACAGGCGTTCACCACCATGCCCAGCTAATTTTTGTATTTTTTGGTAGAGACATGGTTTTACCATGTTGACCAGGCTGGTCTCGAACTCCTGACCGCAGGCGATCCGCCTGCCTCAGTCTCCCAAAGTGCTGGGATTACAGGCATGAGCCACTGTGCCTGGCCCCATTTTAATCACTTTTAAGTGTACAGTTCTACAGCACTAATCCATCACATTGTCGTACAACCATCACCACTACCCATTTCCAGAACATTTTCGTCTTTCCTGGCTGAAACTCTGTGCCCATTAAGCACTAACTCTCCATTCTCACCACTCCCCAGCCCCAGCACCCACCATTCTACATTTCTGGACAAGGGGACAGGGTTTCACTCTGTCACCCAAGCTTGGAGTGCAGTGATGCGATCATAGCACACTACAGCCTCAACCTCCCAGTCTCAAACGATTATCCCATCTCAGCCTCCCAAGTGGCTGGGACTATAGGCATGCACCACCTCGCCTGGCTAATTTTTGTATTTTCTGTGGAGACGGAATTTCACCATGTTACACAGGCTGGTCTCAGACTCCTGGGCTCAAGCAATCCTCCTGTCTTGGTCTCCCAAGGTGCTGGGATTACAGCTATGAGCCACCACACCTGGCCCACTATTCTACCTTCTGTTTCTATGAATTTGACTACACTGGGGATTTCATATACATGGAATTATACAGTAGGTTCCCTTTTGTGACTGGCTTATCTCAGTTTGCATAATGTCTTCAAGATTTATCAGAAACTTTACATTCTTAAAAAGTTTTTTCAATGTAAATTTTTAGTTTTAATTCAATCAGGTTAAAGGTCATATCTCAAGAATGAACAGTGTTCCTCATTCCTTCTTAAAATATTTTTAAAATGTTTTTTGAACCACCAAATGGCATTTTCATTTTGTTTTTTCTTAGCAAAAAAATAAAAATTAAAAGGTCTTATTGGTTGAAAACCCTTGAATATTACAGTCTAACTAGGAGAACCAAAGTACATTCTTTGCATAGGGGTCAGGAACTATTTTAAGAATAAATTCTTCTTTACTTTCTAAAGTAAATGAGAAATTGCTAACTTGAAACATGTGTTTTTCTTTTTTTTTTTTTTTTTTTTGAGATGGAGTCTCGCTCTGTTGCCCAGGCTGGAGTGCAATGGTGCAATCTCGGTTCACTGTAACCTCCGCCTCCTAGGTTCAAGCGATTCTCCTGCCTCAGCCTCCCCAGTAGCTGAGACTATAGGCACGTGCCACCACGCCCAGCTAATATTTTTATTTTTAGTAGAGTCAGGGTTTCACCATGTTGGCCAGGCTGGTCTGGAACTCCTGAGCTCAGGTGATCTGCCCACCTCAGCCTCCCAAAGTGATGGGGTTATAAGAATGAGCCACCACGCCCCGCCAAAACATGTATTTTTGAGGTTAGGTTTAGAGAAAGATGCATCATAATATTCTTAATTTTTCAGCGCATTAAAGAAAAGATGAATAGGAAAGGAGATAAATAACATCCCAACTGGGGGATCCTACTTTTAAAGAAAATGTGTAGACTTTTCACCATGCGATCCTCATACAATCTTGATCTTATATTAATTAGCATATTTCCCCTATGTGCGGAAATCTGTAATGCCCTTCCTCTGTGGTGGGCTGCCTTGCTTTGAAAACACCACCAGGAGCCCCTCTGAAGAATGACAGCAGCAGGTGTTCTGAGAGAAAGTAGTGAGATGGACAGAGCTGTGGATACTAACTGCAGAGACCAAGTCTCCAGACACAGGGCCAGCTGGGGAAATTCTACTGCTGGCTGCCATTCCTTGGTTCTGTTGTCAGTAATCACAGGTCACAAGCCTCGCCTCTCCTGCCTACTAGATGGTTCATTTTGGCCGGGTGCGGTGGCTCACGCCTATAATCCCAGTGCTTTGGGAGGCCAAGGCCTCCCAAATGTATGAACTCTCGTACATTACTGGTATATAAATTGGTAAAACCATTTGGTAATATACCTATTAAGGCTAAGCATGTGTATGCCCTATGATCCAGGTGTCAAAAGACATGTATAAGAATGTAGCAGGGCACCGTGGCTCATGCCTGTAACCCCAAAACTTTGGGAGGCTGAGGCGGGTGGATCCGGAGGTCAGGAGTCAAGACCAGCCTGGCCAATATGGTGAAACCCCGTCTCTACTAAAAATACAAAAATTAGCTGGGCGTGATGGCGTGCACCTGTAGTCCCAGCTACTGGGGTGGCTGAGGCAGGAGAATTGCTTGAACCTGGGAGGTGGAGGTTGCAGTGAGCCGAGATCAGGCCACTGCTCTCCAGCCTGGGCAACATGAGTGAGACTCCGTCTCAAAAAAAAAAAAAAAAAAGGTTCATTTTAATGTAACTTAGTTGACTGTAGAATTTGGAATGTGAAGGGATAGGATTGTATTAATGAGTGTTGTGTTCGTATATTACATCATGCTGTACCCACAGAAACAGGTCCTAAGAAATGCTATTCTCTAACAATACACATTCATGATGTGGCTCACCCAGAGCACCAAAACCCTGCTGGCCATAGCAGGTAGGGTCCACTTATCCCCGGCATCGCCTGGGACATCATATGGACATGTTCTTTTACTTGGTTCTTCATGACAAGCACAAAAGCATAACTTGAGAAGGATTGAACTTACATTAGAATGAGACTTTTATGTATTTTTATAATATCGTCATCTTAAGCAAAATTAAATGTGTTATAAATGATATATGGTGGACCTCTGATGTTCATGTGTGTTTTTCACCTCACCGAAGAATGCTAAAAATTAATCTTAAATATAGCAAAATTACAGCAACAATAATAATAAAATATACTTGCTCAGAATGGATCTTGTGTCCTCCAGCATTGTCTAGAATTTTCCAGATTTTTCAGGAGGGCTGTCTCGTCTCATAACTCTGTGAATGTATATCACTCCAGAACTGCCTTTTTTCTCTGCTTAGACAGTTGTATCTTTCTTTGTATTGAGTATTCTTCGGTGAGTTAGCTCAGTGCCTCTTTTTTTAAAATTTTTTATTTTCATTTTAAGTTCCTGGGTACATGTGCAGGATGTGCAGGTTTGTTATATAGGTAAATGTGTGCCATGGTGGTTTGCTGTACCTATCAACCCATCACCTAGGTATGAAGCCCAGCATGCATTAGCCATTTTTCCTAATCCTCTCCTTCTCCCTTCCCCACCCACCAACAGGCCCCAGTGTGCGTTGTTCCCCTCCCTGTGTCCGTGTGTTCTCATTGTTCGGCTCCCAATTATAAGTGAGAACATGCAGTGTTTGGTTTTCTGTTCCTGTGTTAGTTTGCTGAGGATCATGGCTTCTAGCTCCATCCATGTCCCTGCAAAGGACATGATCTCATTCCTTTTTATGGATGCATAGCATTTCATGATGTATATGTACCACCTTTTCTTTATCCAGTCCATCATTGATGGACATTTGGGTTGATTCCATGTCTCTCCTATTGTGAATAGTACTGCAATGTACATACGAGTGTGTGTGTCTTTGTAATAGAATGATTTATATTCCTTTGGGTATATACCCAGTAATGGGATTGCTGGGTTAAATGGCATTTCTGGTTCTAGATCTTTAATGAATTGCCACAAGCTTGGTGTCTCTTCTGTGTTTTCCTAGCCCACAGGATGGCACGGGTGCTGTTTCACTCATGATGGCATTTCCCACTGGTAGGAAATATGCATGTTATATTATATGTGACAAAATCCATGGAACACTCACCAAAGCCACAGAAGTTGTATTTTTACCTGCTTAACAGCCGGTGTCATCCAAGGTTTGATGTGACAGACACATACTTTATTCTGTTAGCTACAAATATTTATTCTGGTACAGGATGTGTTTAAAGGCATAGGCAAAGGCCACATTATACAGGTAAGGAGCATGGATTTTAAGTGGAATAGAAAGAAATTGAAGTCTTCTAGATAGAGGAATGAAACGATCTGCTGTATGTCTGAAGATGAACCTGGCCACTGGAATATAGAGGGGCTAGCAGAAGTGGGTATAAGCAGAGAGACTAATTACAAAGGCACCGTAAGAGTCTACGCAGTACAGGTGAGTGACTTGACTAGGGTTGTGGTAGTGGAGTGGGAAGAGTGAGGCTTGTTATGTTCATAGAGGTGTATAACAGAGCAATATCGTCTTCATGTGCCAAGCCCTGTGCTAGGTCTTGGGGATTCAGCAGTGACAGAGGCAACACAAATCCCTACTTTCATGAAGCTTTCATATTAGCAGCGAGGGGTAAACCATAAATAAATACATAAGTATGTAGATGGTGCACCAGAAGGTTGGGGAGATATTAAGCAGAGAAGAGGAATACAGAGTAGCGAATAGAGTGCCATTGTTTTTTTTTAAATGGAATCTTGCTCTGTTGCCCAGGCTAGAGCACAGTGGCTCAATCTCGACTCGGTACAACCTCCGCTTCCCGGATTCAAGCGATTCTCCCGCCTCAGCCTCCAGAGTAGCTAGGATTACAGGCACACACCACCACGCCCGGCTAATTTTTGTATTTTTAGTAGAGATGGGATTTCACTATGTTGGTCAAGCTGGTCTCAAACTCCTGACTTCAGGTGATCTGCCCACCTCGGCCTCCCAAAGTGCTGGGATTACAGGCATGAGCCACCACGCCCAGCCATAGAATGCTGTTTAAAATGCCACAGTTATTTATGTAAAATCTGTGATCTTTCACATTGTTAGGAGAAGGTAAAAAGTGCATCCAGAAGCAAGGTTATCAGGGCCAAAGAGGCACCGTGTTCCCAAGGAACCTGTAGTCACTGGTAGAGTCAGTACTGAGACTCCCGAAGATCAATAGGACCAGCATATGGTGTCTTGGCCATATCATCACGATCTGTGGTCATGTTTTGAGGGCAACTTGAATATTTTTCATGATAAAAATATAGTGTACCTCTTTTTCTGTAATTGAAAAACAATTTCCAAGTAATGGCTGTGTATATTACGTGAAAAATTACCACAGAAATCGAGAGTGGAGAAAGGTATCCCAAGTCTTTCATAGAAAATGACCTGGAAATTTTCCTTTTAAATGTCTCTTTTTAAAGTAGTATGAATATGGTTGGCCAGGCGCAGTGGTTTATGCCTGTAATGGCAGCAGTTTGGGAAGCCAATGGGGGTAGATCGCTTGAGCTCAGGACTTCGAGACTACCCTGGGCAACGTGGTGAAACCCTGTCTCTCCAAAAAAAGAAAAAAACAATTAGCTGGGCGTGATGGTGCACATTTGCAATCCCAGCTACTTGGGAGGCTGAGGTGGGAGGATCACTTGAGCCTGGAAGGTGGAGGTTGCAGCGAGCTGAGATATTGCCATTGTACTCCAGCCTGGGTGACAGAGTGAGACCCTGTCTCAAAACAACAACAACAAACAAAAAACAAAAAAAACCCACAAAACCAAAAATAAAGTAATATGAACATGGTAAAAAAAAAAAAAATCAAGCATTACAAGAGGTTACCCAGTGCCAGGTTAAGTCCCTCCCATCTCTGGCTGCTGGTTCCTCAGTTTTCTTCCCCACAAGCAACCACGGTGACCAGGTTCTTGGTGTCACTCTGGCATTGTGGTTCTCAACCTTGGCTGAACAGTAGAATCACATGCAGAACTTTGAAAAGAACAGTTGCCGGCTGGGTGCGGTAGATCACGCCTGTAATCCCAGCACTTTGGGAGGCCGAGGTGGGTGGATCATCTGAGGTCAGGAGTTCGAGACCAGCCTGGCAAACCTGGTGAAACCCCATCTCTACTAAAAATACAAAAAAAATTAGCTGGGCATGGTGACGGACACATGTAATCCCAGGTACTCGAGAGGCTGAGGCAGGAGAATCATTTGAACCCGGGAGGCAGAGGTTGCAGTGAGCCGAGATTATGCCACTGCACTCCAGCCTGAGCAACAGAGAGAGACTCTAAGAAGGAAAAAAAAAACGGTTGCCTTATCCCACCTCCAGAGGCTCTAATTAAATTGCTTTTGAATATGCCATAGAGATTTGTAATACCCCCCCCCCTCGCCCCCCACAGGTTTTAAAAATGTGCAGCCACTTAAATGTTCTAGAGCTAGCCTACATACTCATAAATGTATGCATTCTTTAAAATGCACTTATCAAAAAATTAGCTGGGCGTGGTGGTGTGTGCCTCTAATCCCAGCTACTAGGGAGGCTGAGGCAGGAGAATCGCTTGAACTCAGGAGGCAGAGCTTGTGGTGAGCCGAGATCGTGCCAAGCCGAGATCGTGCCACTGCACTCCAGCCTGGGTGACAAGAGTGCAACTCCATCTCAAAAAAAAAAAAAAAAAATTTATTCAAATGACAGCAAAACGGTGTATTTCTACCAATGATAGAAAAATACTCTCTGATGGTTTTTTCTTTTTCTGATGCTTTTTTCTTTTTAACCTGTAAAATACATCTTGGAGATTATTTCACATTAGCATGTATCGCTAGAGATAACTTATTTTTTTATATGTCCAAATGATATGCCATCATATGGATGCAACATAATTTTATCAGTGCCCTACTGATAGTTATGTTATTCAAAGTAATCTGTTATCACAAATAGTGCCATAACAAATATTCTTATATATATATCCTTATGTACACATTTGTATATATCTATAAAAGTCCCAGAATCAGAATTAGAATTATGGATCAAAGGTAGGTTTTCAGTTTTGATAAATTCTACCAAATTTTATCCATAAGGGGCAATGTGTGAGAGGACCACACTAACAGTGCATTCGCTTTGCTTGTAATCTTTGCCAATAAAAATTAAAACTAGTGTTGTCTTTGATTTTGCCCTGTTTTAACATCAGGACTAAACTTAGGCATTTTCCATTAGCTTAAAACCGTTTCTTTTTCTGGGAATGTCTCTCCTTCCCCTGCTTTTTTGGCCTATTTTTCTAGTGGGTTGTTGGTGTTTTTCTTATTGATTATAAGATGTATTAATATATGAAGGCATCAAACTTTTGTCAGCATATGATGACATATTCTGTATATATCATCAGTATATGAGCAACTTTACTGTTGCTCTTTTATTTATGATTTTTTTTTTTTTTTTTTTTTGAGACGGAGTCTCACTCTGTCGCCCAGGCTGGAGTGCAGTGGCGCCATCTCGGCTCACTGCAAGCTCCGCCTCCTGGGTTTGCACCATTCTCCTGCCTCAGCCTCCCAAGTAGCTGGGACTACAGGCGCCCGCCACCATGCCCTGCTAATTTTTTTGCATTTTTTTTAGTAGAGACAGGGTTTCACCGTGTTAGCCAGGACGGTCTCGATCTCCTGACCTCGTGATCCACCCATCTCAGCCTCCCAAAGTCCTGGGATTACAGGCGTGAGCCACTGCGCCCTGCCTTTATTTATGATTTTTAATCTGATATAGTAAAATGTATAGCTTTTATGTTTTGGAGTGTTTCAAGTATCAGTTGGTAAGAGAGCTAGGTACTGGAAGCTATTGGAGAACAGAGAATATGTCATCTATATTCTTAGATCCTCAGTGCCCAGCACATGGTAGATAATTGTTGACAGAATAGTTGGATGTAAATGTGATGATGATGATGAAGGATCATGAAAGTTGATCCCAGGTATTCATCCAGAAGAAATTAAGGCAGTAACAGTATTATCATCATTTAATTCCCTTCATAATTAAACGCTCCAGCGTATAATCACGGTGTATAATACTTCTGGTATAAACTGAAAGTACTGAGTTTCAGAAGGCAGATCTAGCTGAGTCGTCTCAGAGCCGTCATCTTGGTCACTAAGCTCTTGCTCCTTAGAAACTCGAAGATCCTCCACCCCTTCCCATTGGTCTTTCTGCCTCGGAATGTTGTTCCCTTGCCTGTATCTATGACTGTTTCCTGCCAGCTGCAAAACACAGCCTAAATATCTATTTCCCTTTAGAAGCTTCTTCTGAGTCCCATCTTCATCTCCCTGCCATCTTCCCTCATAGTGTCCCATGGCTTTCCTTTATAGTAGTTATCAGAACTGTCATAAAATAATGTTTTGTGTTACAGCCTCTGTGATGTGTCTCCCTCACTCGACTGGGAACCCCAATCACTTCTTCTTCCCTCATGTCCACTGGGAGTGCTCTGGGATTGGGGAACAGAGGTAAACAAAAAAAGCTCCCTGCCCTCCTTTGAGTATTACATTCTACTGTATATATGTGTTGGGAAAAGGAGATAATAATAATACTGAGTTGTGCATCATTTCCAATGATTGTCATTTAAATGAAGCAGAAAAGCCAGTAGGTGCATTTTTGGCTTGGAGTATCTGAGTCTGGTTTGTGTCTTAATAGTAGAAGGATCTAGCACATAACATATGCATACACTACCAGGCTGTGAGACTGTGGTCACCCTCGTGCAAGTCAACAGACAGCTGTCAGCATAGTCACCGAGCCATTTCTTTCTCTCTTTTTTTTTTTTTAGCGACAGGCTCTCATTCTGTCACTCAGGCTGGGGTGCAGTGGTACAATCAAGGCTTACTGCAGCCTTCACCTCCCAGACTCAAGTGATCCTCCCACCTCAGCCTCCCAAGTAGCTGGGACTACAGGTGTGTGCTACCATGCCCAGCTCGTTTTAAAATTTTTTGTACAGATGGGGTCTCGTTATGTTGTCCACATTGGTCTCAAACTGCCGAGCTCAAGCAATCCTCCTGCCTCGGCCTCCCAATATGCTGGGATTATAGGAGTGAGCCACTGCACCTGGCCCAAGCCATTTCTCATCCTTACCAAAATGTATTCTTACCAAACTGTCAGGCCATTTTTGCCCTGCTTGATGGAAGTTTTGCTATCATTAAAGTCCATTACACCTTCAAATGCAAAATAGAGCAGATATTTTCATGCAACAAAAGATGCTTTTTCATTTGCAAGACAAGAAATAGGATATAAACTACTTTTGACCAATGGTATATGTCCAGTATTTTATTAAACGTTCTGAATATAGTCTAGATTTTCTAATATTAATATTATATATCTGTGGCACATTTCCAGCTAAATAATCTAAAATTTACAGCCTTTTTAAAACACAGAGGTGAATGAACCAGATTGTCTCTAGTTCTGAAATCACCTCCTGAAGGTGGGTTTGCTGCTTAAGGGATACATTAACTATATTAGGTCCCTAGGGTACTTTCCAGTGCTTTATTTCTGAGTACTCCACACCACTGGCATTTTTCCAGACAAATCCCTGATGGTGTAGCCTGTTTTTTTAATATTAAGTCTCTCTGAACCAAAGTCATATCTTTCCAGAAGGTTAGACTTTTAGAACAGTATATTAATATTTTACTACCAAATTACTGGGTCATTTTGGCCTGCTTAAGTACCTAACCTAGTACCAACAAATTATTTAAGCAATCATAGGAGAAAAATCCAGTATTTCAGGTAGACACTTAAATAATCATTTCTATACATTATACACAGAGAAATTTACTTCATAATCATAAAATTTTATGTCTAAGTACTTTTCTTTTAATTATTTTCTTGCCTGTCATAATTCCCATAGCAACCTTTACTTTGTTCTCTGTTTTTCATGTGCATAAAGAGGCTTTCAGGAGACCTGGTCCTTGCCTCCCTTCCCCATATGCAAACAACTACGAAGGTGAATCAATTACAGAAAATATGTATAAATCATCTCTTTTACAACATCAAAAATATTTTCAGGGTACTTTGTGAGAAATTTCAATTGCAATAGGAAGGGCCTTTTATTCACAAACATAGGAACATTACAGGAAAAGAATTTAACTGAACTCCCAACATTTTTTGAGAAAATGGAATCCAACCTTATCTCTTCTGTTACTGTTTTTGTTTTTTTGAGATGGGAGTCTCACTCTGTCACCCAGGCTGGATTGCAGTGGCATGATCAGTTCACTGTAGCCTTGAACTCCTGAGCTCAGGCAGTCCTCCTGCCTCAGCTTCCCAAGTAGCTAGGACTGCAGGTGTGTGCCACCATGCCTGGCTCATTTTTAAAATGTTTTTGTAGAGACAGGGTCTCCCTATGTTGCAAAGGCAGGTCTTGAACTCCTGGGCTCATGCAGTCCTCCCACCTGGGCCTCCCAAAGTGCTGGGATTACAGGCATGAGTCACTGTGCCTTGCCTCTGTTATTTGTTTTACATACGTGAATGTATGTATATATAGAAATGATTCAGTTTTGTTTTTGTTGTTGTTTTCTGGTTTTATTAAATACAGTCATCATAAACATTTGCCTGTAATCATCTTTAGTCTTTGTAACTATTTTCAAGGTTATCTAATAGTCTACTAAGCATGTGAACCATAATTTTAAAATTTTCTTAAACTAGTTCCTAGAAGTGAAATTAATAGCCTAGGTACATCTAAATGCATGTCTAGTTACACATAGAAAGTAAATTGTCTTCCCAAAGGGTTGCGTGAAAGCCAAAAACTATCAACAAGGTGTGAAAGTATCAATTTAAGTGTGTCCCCCTGACATTGTGAATTGGGACTTTGCAAAGAGCATTGGTTTAATGATGGAAAATGGTATTGTGTTTAATTTAATGAGGTTGAACATCTTTTCCAGATGCTTATGGCTAATTGATTTTTTCGTGAATTTTCTATTAATATCCTTTATTTATATCAATTCATTTCTTACTGTTTTACTTATCAATTAGTGTGCCTTTTATATATGCAAAGAAAATGTTAAACAGTAAAATATTTAAGGACTGAAGCCATATCCCTTTTCACAAGTGTGTAGTTCCCTGGAGAACACAGAAGTTAGCTGTTCATTCATGCCTGTAGATTAATTGTTCATTGCCACCCGGGAGAACTCATCTTGGAAGGAAAGAGCCCAGATTCATTTGTTTGATTGTTTCGCTGCTCAAGAAAAGGCCTGGCACTTGGATGTACCATCTTTTGACATGGCCTTTCTTTTCTTGAGACGGAGTCTCACTCCTTCGCCCAGGCTGGAGTGCAGTGGCATGATCTTGGCTCACTGCAACCTCCACCTCCCGAGTTCAAGTGATTCTTCTGCCTCAGCCTCCCGAGTACCTGGGACTACAGGCACCCGCCACCATGCCTGGCTAATTTTTGTATTTTTAGTAGCGATGGGGGTTTCACCATATTGGCCAGGCTGGTCTCGAACACCTGACCTTGTGATCTGCCCACCTTGGCCTCCCAAAGTGCTGGGATTACAGGCATGAGCCACGGGGCCCAGCCAACATGGTCTTTCTTTGGTAGTAGAGAGTCTATTAAGATATTCTAGAGTTTTATATTTATTTGTCCAGTTATTCAGTTGCATTCCTTTATATTACCCAACATTGCTTGAAGAAATATCTTCTCCCTGTATTGGCTTGATTTTTGAAACATTCTGAATTATTATAAGTTATATGTATAGTCATATTTTCTGCTGTAAATTTGAACTCCATCTCTATAGGAATGTCAGGGGTAGTGCATAAGAAGTAAATCAACAGTCACTCACACAATATGTTATATTTACAATATATTCGCAACCATCTGTAAGAAAATTTGCAAGTGCATTCTTTCTAGTAGCTTCAATTTAGTATACTCATTTTACAAATGAGAGAATTAGCCAGAGAATTATTTACATGCCTTGCCTTTGGCTATGCAATGAGTCACTGGTACTTTTAGGATTGGAACTTTAAGTTCCTGGAATGAAGAAGCAGAATTAATGGGAAAAGAAGCTTCACAAAAAATAAGTTGTAATCATATTTTCAAAATATAAAGTCTCTCTTAGATTCACTGGAAAAAGGATGCTAAACAAATTTCAAGTACAATGACTGTTTTTGGAGTGGCTTGCTTGTTATGAAACATGGTTATTTAATCAACTGGCCTATAGTTGACATTTGCACCAAGTTAATTAAGTTGGCATTTGTGGAGGTTTGTGATAAAACACTGGGGATAGCTTCAAGCTGAAGCCTTTGTTTTATTCTTTATTCATTATAAATATTTATCATCCGTTCATCATGGAAAGTCACATTTCTGTTTGTGTTTTTTAATTAAGAAAGAGACACTAGCACATTTAGGAATGTTTAAGAATGTTTAGGAATGCGAAAATGGATCGGGAGAGCTTTCTTGTAAATTGGGAGAGCTTTAAACTATAGGATGTAAGAGAGAAGAGGTTTTCTCTCTTTCAGTCCTTATTCATTCATTCCACAAATGTTTGTTGAGCATGCATTCCATGCCTGGCACTATTCCAGGCACTTGGGATATAGGAGTAAGTGAAACATTTAAAAAAATCCATCCTCGTGGGTGTTATATCCTAATCAAGGGAGACATATACTAAACAATATCGTAAGTAAATTATATGTTAGAAGGTAAAAACACTAATAGGCTGGGCGTGGTGGCTCACACCTGTAATCCCAGCACTTTGGGAGGCCGAGGCACATGGATCTCTTGAATCCAGGAGTTCGAGACCAGCCTGGGCAGCATGGTGAAACTCCATCTCTACAGAAAATACGAAAAATTAGTTGGGCATGGTGGTGCGCACCTATAGTCCCAGCTACTCAGGAGGCTGAAGTGGGTGGATCCCTTGAGCTCAGGAGACAGAGGTTGCAGTGAGCCAAGATTGTGCCACTGCACTCCAGCCTGAGTGACAGAGTAAGACCCTGTCAAAAAAAAAAAAAAAAAAAAGAAGGTAAAAGCACTATTTTTAAAAAAGTAGAACAGGGTAAGTGAGATTGGAAATACCGCTGCAATCAATGGGGGTTACAATTTGAAATAGGATGGTTGCAGAAGACCTCATTGAGAAAGATTTTGAGCAAAGACTTAGAGGAGGTGATAGAGTTAGAAGGGTAGAAATCTAGGGGAGGAGAGTGTCTGGTACCTCTGAGGAATATCAAGGGGCCCAACAAGGTTAGAGCCGAAAGAAGGGAGAGCGAGGTGGCAGGGAGAGGGTGTAGAGATCAGCGGAAGAGGACGTTACTAACAAAGGAGACTTAGAAGGAACAGCCAATGGGAAAAGAGAAAGACCAAGAGGGAGTGGTTTCTTGGAAGTCAAGTTGAGAAAATGAAGAGAGGACAGGGGATGATCAGTGATGTTAAAGGCTGCTGATTGCTGGAGTAAGATGAGCACTGAGAATCAGCCATCGATGTAGCCTTAGAGACATCATTGATGACCTTGATGAACAGTTTTAGTGGAGTGGTAGGAGGAATAGGAGGAAGTATATTTAAGAGAGAACAGGAAGAGAAGAGTTAGAGGGAGCAGAGCCAACTTTTTCTATGCATTATTTTTTCTGCAAAGGAGAGGGGAAAACTGGACAAGAGCTGGCAGAGAAAATGGAGTCAAGGAAAGGTTTTCTTAGGAAGAGAGAAATAATCACGTGAGTTTGCTGATTCAAATGATTCAATAGAAAAACCCTAAGTGTAGTGACATCCATGCAGTTTCTGGAGTACCTGTAACCAGCATGAATTTCTAGACCAAAAATTCCCTACATACAATTTATTCACTCCTTTTCTCCCATTTCATTGAATTTTCTGCAGCTATGTATTGAGACAGTTCAACTCTCCCAAGCCACTATTTTTCTGCTCCCTGCCTACTTGTTTTCAATTTCATAACTGATAAGATAGTTTGTATATAAAAAATTATATTAGCATGAAAAAATTCTTGTCATTGGCTGGATGCGGTGGCTCACACCTGTAATCCCAGCACTTTGGGAGGCCGAGGCAGGTAGATCCTCTGGGTTCAGGAGTTCAAGACCAGCCTGACCAACATGATGAAACCCCATCTCTACTAAAAATACAAAAATTAGCTGGGCATGGTGGTGGGCACCTGTAATCCCAACTACTCAGGAAGCTGAGGCAGGAGAATCGCTTGAACCCGGGAAGCGGAGATTGCAGTGAGCCGGGATCGCCCCATTGTACTCCAGCCTGGATGACTCCATGTCAAAAAAAAAAAAATCATGTCATCTGTCATCATCAGTAGATATATATTAAAGGCCTAGAAAATTTTCCCAAAACACACATACACATACATAATGTTCTAATTTTTTTAAATTACTTAGCCTATGACTGAAATCCAAAACTCAAAATAATATCAAAATTGCCCCTCTAATTTTAACTTTTTCAAAATGGTTCCTTTGGACAATGTCAAATTTTGCAAATATTGAGCAGAGGCTCTTCTATAAACTGTAAATAGCCATCATACCCTCATGTTAAGGAATAATTTGGTGGTAACAGCATTTTGATATGTTCGTTTTTTAAAAAAATGAAAGTCACATGTCTGAACTTCTTGCCTACTATTTGTACTTTATAATAACTTCAGCTTCAGTACTGAAAACCAGCAACTGTTCCTTTTGCACTGAAAGAAGACACTTGAATCCTAGCCACTTTCAGGCAGGATGAGCTGCCGACCAGTCTACTGAAGGCCAGCTTGCCAAAGTTCTATTCATTTTCAGCAAAGAGAGAAAAACTTAAATAGCCGGTGTCTTGGCTTCTATTGTTTTCCGATTCTAATCTACTTTCCCTTGTAGATAAGTAATGAAAAGAATGCTTGGTGATGCTGAGATACTCTGAAGTGAGGAAAATTTCAGAGGAGCAGCCAAGTCTTTCCACAAAACAGCATTCTATTAATGAATGTAAAATGAGCCCTCGGTGTACTTTCGTTGTGCCTTTTTGGAAAGATAAAATTTGAAATTTTTGTTTTTCCAAGTAGGAGTCTCACTCTGTTGCCAGGCTGAAGTTCAGTGGCACAATCTTTGGCTTACTGCAACCTCTGCCTCCCAGGTTCAGGCAATTCTTCTGCCTCAGCCTCCCGAGTAGCTGAGATTACAAGCGCCCACCACCATGCCTGGCTAATTTTTGTATTTTTAGTACAGACAGGGTTTCACCATATTGGCCAGGCTGGTCTCTTGGCCAGGCTGGTCTCGAATTCCTGACCTGGTGATCTGCCTGCCTCGGCCTCCCAAAGTGCTGGGATTTCACCGTGAGCCACTGCGCCTGGCCCAAATTCGAAAATTTATAGATGTGTGTGAGAGAGAGCAAGCGAGCGTGCCTAAAGCTTAGCAAAGACATAGCTAAGCATTACAAAACTATCACGATGCCTTTATGATCGTTAGAAATGGCTATACCTATGACCAACAAACAGAAAAAACATATGCTTTTGATTAACAAAAACATCAGATGCATGTAGGAATTTGTCCTAGCTTTTCTTTTTATGAGCAGACACATGCATGGCACTTGAAATTTGACTGCTAAAGGTTTACTCCTAACTCTGTGGATCCAATTTGTTATATACTCATTTTACAAAGGGAGGAATTAGCCAGGGAGTTATTTATATGACTTGCATTTGGCTATGCAATGAGTCCCCTGCTTCGTGGCCTTGCTCAGGTAGCTTCTCTATGTCTCAGTTTTCTCATCAGTAAAAATGAAGATAATCGAAATTACATTAGGTAATACTTGTGAATCAGCACAGTACCTGACACAGTGTAAGCATTTATGAAATATTTGCAATTATTATCATTAATAAGATGTATTATTATGTGCATAGCCTGATCTTAATTGATTATCCTCATTATGAGTATAATATAAAACAATCTTCAAAACGCACTCTTTTAGCCTCTAAGTAATTGTGCTGGACTGAGAAGGAAGAAAATACAAGAACTCTGTTTATATTCTCCGGAGACATCATGTTTCCAGTAACGTGGAGTTCACTAACAACAACTTAAATGTAACTCCGAATTAAGGAACTCACACAGGCTGAAGGAGTTTTTCTGGGAGGTAATCCCATGTTGATGGAGTCTCACATGTGTATTCCAGGAGTGCCTGAGTATATATCACATGCAGAGTGAGAGAAAAAGAGAAGGGAGAGAGAGAGAGAGACTGAACAAGTTTAAATAAATCTTACTAAAAATTAATGTTAGCATGTTAGATACACTGACCTCTTTTCAATTCCTCAGACATGCAAGCATTTCTTGTACACAAGGCCTTTGCATATGATGTTCTTTCTGCCCAGACATCCCTCTTCTCAATGCGTTGCAGGGCTGAGTTTTTTCTTTCATCGTTTAGATTTCAGCTTAGTGTCATTGCAGACTGTCATCTCATTACTCTAACTAAAATACCATCCCTCCCACCATCATTTTATTATCTCAGCTTTTTTTCTTGTCTCTCATAGCCGTTATTTTTCTGGTGCCTTTTAAAAAAAAATCAGTTTCCTTCACTGAGATATTAAGTTTCATGACAGAAAGCTTTAATCTTTTTTACAGCCCTGTTTTCAGTATTTAGCTCACAGTTACAGCACAGAGTTTCAAAGTAATAAGTACTCAATAATTGCATGTAGTTTGGGGAGTTGTTAAATAAAATTTAATCTCTTCATTAGTACATCCTATAGCTATATGTTTATAAATTTTCATATTGTCTTGAGAAAATTGAAACTGACATTTTGGCTTTTACAGGATCATAAAAGTATCACACAGGGATGACCCTGCAGCGATGTATTGCTATCACCTCTGTTACTATTTTGACACTCAGCTAAATGATAGGTCAATCACATTTGAGATTTTCATCATCGTATGAATTTGAATAATAATTACACGACAGTTTGCAAACTAAGGTATACAATGTTTATGCAACTGTCCCGCATCTTGGCACGCTATGTCATTTTTCAGTGTTTAGAGTCAGGATCTCTCATCAGTACATAGTTGATGATTTTATTGTTATTATTTTGAGACAGGGTCTCCCTCTGTCACCCAAGCTGGAGTACAGTGTTGTATTCTCTGCTCACTGCAGCCTCTGCCTCCTAGGTTCAAGCGATTCTCCTGCCTCAGCCTCCCGAGTAGCTGGGACCACAGGCACCTGCCACCACGCCTGGCTAATTTTTGTATTTTTAGTAGAGATGGGGTTTCACCATGTTGCCCCGGCTGGTCTTGAACTCCTGGCCTCAAGTGATCTGCCTGCCTCTGCCTCCCAAAGTGCTGGGATTACAGGCATGAGCCAGCATGCAGCCCATAGTTTATGATTTTATTTATGAAGAAACCAGTAAAGCAGAGAATAGCAATTCAGATTTCTTGCATCTACATTGCACCAGAGAACAGAAGGTAATTCTAAACTGTGAAAAGAGATGACAACACCATGAAAAATGAAAGAATTATCTCCCTTCCCCCACAGACAATACAAGATAGAACCCTTTCCCCTTGGTCCTGGCCCGCTGAAGTCTATCCCATTTTGATTGATGATTGATTGAGACGGAGTCTCGCTCTGTTGCCAGGCTGGAGTGCAGTGGCACAGTCTCAGCTCACTGCAACCTCCACCTCCAGGGTTCAAGCGATTCTCCTGCCTCAGCCTCCCGAGTAGCTGGGATTATATGCATGTGCCACCACACCTGGCTAATTTTTGTATTTTTAGTAGAGACAGGGTTTCACCATGTTGGTCAGGCTGGTCTCGAACTCCTGACCACAGGTGATCCACCCACCTCGGCTTCCCAAAGTGCTGGGATTACAGTTGTGAGCTATTGTGCCTGGCCCCATTTTGCTTTATTTTAAAATATGTGGGCCTGACCAGCAAGCAATGAGTTTGCCATTGGGTCAGCATCGTCCTATGCATGAGGAGGTGGTCTAAAATCTTGAGGATTTTGATGAGTTATAGCTTTGTCTAGAATCAGACTGGCCTTTGGATTCATAAAAAGTTGATTTTGCTCAAGAACATGGCTTTAAGACTTCATATAAAGATTTCCTACAGAAAGAGAAGAACACAATTTGGGATCCAAGATGCCGCTATGAAATAGGCTTACAACTCTTATCTTTTGGGCTTTAAAAGAGAAAAATACAAGAATGCTCCAAAATACTGATGCTGAAAATATAGATGACTGTGAAACAGCAGAGTACAGCATCAAAACAGCAAAGTATATAAATTTTTTAAAGCATTAAAGAAAAAGGGTGGCCAGGTGTAGTGGCTCAAGCCAGTAATCCCAGCACTTTGGGAGGCCGAGGTGGGCAGATCACCTGAGGTCAGGAGTTCAAGACCAGACCGGTCAACATGGCAAAACCGTCTCTACTGAAAATACAAAAATTAGCCGGGCCTGGTGGCGCATGCCTGTAATTTCAGCTACTCTGGAGGCTGAGGCAGGAGAATCACGTGAACCTAGGAGACAGAGGTTACAGTGAGGCAAGATTGAGCCACTGCACTCTAGCCTGGGCAACAGAGTGAGACTATCTCAAAAAAGAAAAAAGAAAAAAGAAAGGGTGACGCTTTCTTGTGTGAACGTTAGACATAAAAGTGGAAAAACAATGAAACCCCGTCTCTACTAAAAATACAAAAATTAGCCGAGTGTGGTGGTGCACATCTGTAATCCCAGCTACTCAGGAGGCTGAGGCAGGAGAATTGCTTGGAGCCAGGAGATGGAGGTTGCAGTGAGCTGAGATCATGCCATTGCACTCCAGCCTGGGCAGCAGAGCAAAAGCGAGACTCCGTCTCAAAAAAAAAAAAAAAAAAAAAAAGTGGAAAAAGAAATTGAAGAGTAGATAAAAGCATAAATTAATCCAGTGATATGCAATTTTCCTATGAGCAATGAACCCACAAAGTGAGAGCTCTAAGGATAAAAGGTGATGATCCTGGGAGGAACTATTAGTACACAGTAGTACAAGTTACATTTTCAGAAATGTCCAAATAGAAATGCAGGTATTAAGATGTAGAAAAGGAAATCTGGGTAGCTGAAATGTGATGCACTGACAAGGACAAATACTGCAAAAGACCAGCTAATCACGTTGTAAGAGCCCTAGAGATCAAGGGTACATTTTGTAATGAACCTATTCCGGAGTTATGGAAACGACCGCCAGCTGTTCCTGACTGAAGACTACTTGAGGCACGATGACCCAGAAAGTCCATATGTTTCCAAAGATAAAAGCTTAATTAGATATATCACTTCTAACTGAATAAATCCACACTCCCACAAGAAAGGAGATTAACTGTAAGGCATATGTCAGGAGGGTGACTTTCAAACATGCAACAGCTTCAGATACTGAAACATGCTACTATTTAACTGTGGCTGTCTTTGGATGGGAGACTTTCAGGGGATCGTTATTTGTGTGTCTTTCAATGCTGGGTGCATATAACTTCTATAACGAAAAATATTTTGAGGCTGGGTGAGGTGGCTCACACCTGTAAACCCAACACTTTGGGAGGCTGAGGCAGGAGGATTGCTTGAGCCCAGGAGTTTGAGACCAGCCAGCCTGGGCAACATAGTGAGACCCATCTCTACAAAAAATAATTTAAAAATTAGCTAGGAATGGGAGCACATGCTTGTATTCCCAGCTGCTTGGGAGGCTGAAGCCGGAGGATCACTTTCGCCCAGGAGGTCAAGGCTGCAGTAAGCCATGATTGCATCACTGCAGTCTATCAAGCCTGGGTGACAGTGAGACTGTCACACACACACACACACACACACATACACACACACACACACACACACAATTGTTTTTGTGTGAAAGTATATACTATCAGAGATACAAGGAATGAAGGTAATCCAGCTCTTTCTATGCTTCTATGAACTACTCTAAAGATCAATTGGTAGTCACATCCTGTATTATAAAATAGTCAAGCCATTGCCAAAAGTCATTGAAGAGATTTTTGTTTTTAACTGCTATTTAAACCTGGAAACAGGTCTCAAAGTGACTATGCAATGTAAAAGCTCCATCTGAATATTAGCAAAGGACTTTTTATATCTTATTTTAAAATAATGAATGAGACCGGGAATGCGACCGCGGGAATGAGACCGCACAAAATTATGTGTGGGTGTTATGCGGCCCTCTCTTTATGTACTTCCTGTCATTGCTGGGTTCTTACTGATAGAAGCTTTGTCTTTTCATTGAGGTGTGACTTGAACCTGTAGCGGGGTGATTGGGTCTAACATGGCAAGACTGGTGACAGTGGGGACAGGGGCCCCTTATGGGGTATAATTATGCTTCCTGGTAATTTTCTACTGTGCTGCTACTACTATAAGAAGCCCTCTAGGAAGATCAGGAATCCCCTACCAGGTGTGTATGTGTTGACACACTCATTTCTCCCTTGTAAATTTGCTTGAACGAAGAGTTTGCAGTGCATTTTTATCCCCCATGCATTTTACAGTCACATCATAACAATAGGTGATCTATTAATTTACGTCAAGATACCACAATTGAGGTACAACTGATCACTAACTTTCATTCTGAAACCCCTATTCTACGTATTTTCTAGTATTTGGGTCTTGAAGATTATATTAGTGCAGAGTGCCAGGTGGGGAGGGAGGAAGGGTAGAAGGGAGGAGGAGGGAGGAAGACTTTTTGAGATAGGGTCTCACTATGTTGCCCAGGCTGGTCTCGAACTCATGGGCTCAAGCAATCCTCCCACTTTGGCCTCCCAGAGTCCTAGGGTTACGGTCGTGAGCCACTGCAGCCAGCTGTGGTTCTTAAGTATTCTTAAGAACACTTTTTTTTTTCATTTTTATTTGTACAAAATATTCTCCCACCACACTCAAACAAATGCAGTTTAGACTACAATGAGAGCATTTTGTTTATGTCAAGAAAACAAAGTGTATATTTCTTAATAAGTAAACTTTTAAAATGTAATTTCATTAGTACAGGAAATTAATAACTTTAGTGTCTTTCCTTCTTCAGCCTCACTCACCTCATCTACAAGCAGAGTTGGGACTCAATTATTCTGTGAATTTTAACTCCAACTAATAAATTAACCAAGCTTTGAAATTTCCTTGTAAGTATGGTTATAACAATTCACACTGCTGTTTATGCCAGTGGCTTTATTTCAAATGGTAGTTTCTCAGTTGGAGAAGCAGTTCGAAGTCATTTTGAGCTCCTTTAAACTCAACGCTTTATAAAGCGGTGATTACTTTCGTGTCCTAATTAAATGGCCACGTCACTCTCTTGCATCTTGTTTGGAAAGTCACAAGCAATAAAGAACTGTGCTATATTATGACTGATGAGCATTATTTGATTTTTGCTATGCAATATTGCATATGATATTTACTACCTGTGAACCTCCTTGTGGTATAGGACACACTTAGTGGAGCAGGTAATGGAAAGGGATTATTAAAGGAAACGATCTCATGCTTTGTTTTTGAGAGAAGGTTTCATCTGAAACAGAAACAGACACACATACCACGAGCCCGATTACTATAGAACCGAAGAGACCTTTCCAGCTGTTTACACTTCGGATGTAAAATGGCAATTTGACATAGACTAACAGTGTGATGTGAGCATCTGCGTAAAAAGGCGACATATGGAGCATGCCCAGTGTGGGAGTGCGTCCTCCTCCCTCCGCCTCCCCCCTCCCCCTCGAGATCTCCAAAGATAAGGCTTGAACTTTGCACTTGCAAATGTCACTGCATACGTTTTTGCACTAGTTTTTTTTTTTTTTTTTCTGCGATTCTTTTACAACTAATTTCTTTTAACAATTTGAGCGCAGGGAAGAGAATGTTTAGGGTTATGAGATGCATTAAGTTTAGAACGAGTTGATGCTCGGCTTTTGAATGCACTTGTCTTCTTTATTTTTAAAGCAATATAAAGCACTCGAGTGTGTGTTTTCAGCCCCTCCTGGAATGGGAAAATAAGAATCTCCCTGGATGGGAGTCCTCTGGGGCAGGGAGTGAAAGCCCCGGAGGCAGAAAGGGACGGAGAACAGGGGCTTGCCCAGAGCATGGATAGGAAAGGAGCTGGGGTTCTCCGGGGCTCAGCGCGCACTGAGAACCTGTGCCCGGGGCTGCAGCTGCGGACGATAAAGGCGCTGTCTGGCTCATGAAGGCCACCTGGATCAGGCTTCTGAAAAGAGCCAAGGGAGGAAGGCTGAAGAATTCTGATATCTGTGTAAGCGCAAGGGCTTTCGTTTGTGGGGAGAGGTTATTTTGTCTCTGCTTTTCTGTTGTTGCAGTGAGTGCAGGTAGAGAGGGTGGTTTGATTTGGTTAATCGGATCATGATTGCAGGAGAGGGAAGCTAGGGAGATTCCTCTCATTTTTTGAGCTCCTTTTCCTAGGTTGTGATTAATTGCCAGATGAGCTATCCCAGGCAGGTGTTTTCTGTAGACGGCTTTTTATTAAATCTAGGTAAAGGTATTTTAAAATGTGTTGCTGGAAGATGGAGTGAAGTTAGCTGCTAGTGTCTTACAGTTTTATCAGAGAAAATAGCAGGTGTATAAAAAGGTAAACAAGGCTTTTTCAGATTAAAGTGGGAATCATGTCATGGTAGTGACATTTTGGAGAGTTCAAGTTTATAACTCAGACTTTCTTTCATGTTTTTGTTAAGCTTAATGTCCTCCTAGTTTCAAATACCTGCTTTAGCATGTAGATTGTTCTTGAAGCTATCCTTGAAACCCATCGTTGTCCTTCAGTTCTGCACTGCACCATCAAGCTGTTTAATTATAAAACCAACTTGTTCTGGCTTCCAGGAAGGATAGTTTTTTGGAATATAAAGCTTGGGAAGGAATGGCAACTCAGTAGACACAACTATTCTATTGAATGTCTGCAAACCAGAGCATGGTTTTCTAGATAGGTTGCTGCAAAATGAATTATTTTCTCCTCTTTTCAGGAAAGTATAGAACAATCCGGGAAGCTAACTGCTGTGTCGATGAGACTTTTCCAATGCAAACATCATAGACTGAATCTACTTTAAAATGTACATTTTCCTCTCCAGGGTTCGGCAGACTCCTACACTAGCCGTCCATCCGATTCCGATGTATCTCTGGAGGAGGACCGGGAGGCAGTGCGCAGAGAAGCGGAGCGGCAGGCCCAGGCACAGTTGGAAAAAGCAAAGGTAAAATCGTTTCCTCCCTGCCAAGATCTTTGCAAGTTGTGCTGTGCCCCTGATAGACCACCTGTGGGAGTTTCCCCTAAAGGTTGTTTGATCTATTAGAGAATTTCATTGTCTGGTTTTAGAAAGGTACAAAAAATGGAGCCTAGTTTCTTCCCTTGGTAGAAAAAGGAAGTGTGGTATGTAAGACTGGTCTTCTATGTTGTTTTATAATCCAAGCAACTCTTTTCTGTGGGTGGATGGCTTATTTGGACACATACAAAAGGATCCTTGAATTTGCCAAGAGGAAAAACTGCACCTAATATCAACATGTTTTACTTCATTTCCACAGTAAACTATATCTCTGTTAAGAAAAAAAAAAAAAACAGACTGACTTCAAGCTATTGTTTATTTTCTTAGACTTGAACAGTTTTTCCCCTGAATTTTACTTCATAGGTGTTTTATGTTAGTATCCTGTATTTTCAAAATGGATTACATTATGCTTTTCCAAAAGCAACAGAGGATTTTATTGATTTTTAAAAGTTTCTTCTCTTAGAACATGTTCTTCTCCATTCCATCTTAATAAAGTGTGTATATATGGAGGGGAGACTGCAAAGCAGCTATGAAATAGATAGTTACAGGATTCATCTCAGGCCATGTCTCATTTCAGTCATTGCAGTGATTTGAATTCTTTCTCCCATGCTGTCCTTGGAATAGTGGCTATTTCTAAAGCATAGATTGTTCGAGTTGAAGGTGGCTTGGTTTGTGGGATACTCAGTCACTTCTCAATGAACCTATTTTAACATGGTTGTTGATTTTCCTTTGAAAAACTTGTTTTGAAAAAGGCTAAGTGCCTTGTTGATCATGCTAGAAATACCAGGATAGCATTTCTACTGCCTGCCTCATCTCTGAGATGAGTAAAATCTATGTGTGTTGCTATGGGAATTGTGGTTAGGAGATTCTGGTTTGAATGCATGGACAGCCCTTATGTAATACATTATTCATGACCTCTAGTGCGGCTGCCATCATAGTCTACTGAGGAACTGCCAGGAGACCTTGACTTCTAAAAAGCAGTACTTTTGTATATCAGAATGATGTTCTTACCTCGCCTGGCAGGGAAATTTTCTCCAGGACTGACAGTCTTCTCTGAAAGGCAGTTCATAAATAGCAGATGCAGGGAGGGTTTTGTGATGGTGGAAACTGATAAAACTGGACGTGGCCCAGTTGCCATCAATGAATCTGCTCTACCAATGTTAGCCACGTAGAACATTGTGAAGTTGAAATTAAATAATGAAGAACATTAAATAATGTATGACAGTCTGCATTGTAGTTAATATAGGTTGCAGCTGAGAGTCTGAATTCTATATTCTATATTTTGCATTGTGTGTAAAGAAGAGTACAAAAAAACTACAGTTTGTATTCCGAAAATAAGATTGTTCTATTTGCGGCTAATTTATTCATGTAAGTTTCACATACCAAAATTGAACAGTTTCTCGGGCTTATATGCCATCATGATACAGCCCAATAGACTGTAGGTTTGGTTTTCAATTGTTATGTAATTGGGGCATTTTTGTTCATGACTCTGTGGCTGTGTCATGAGTTAGATGACATTGCTGCAAAGAACTTTTAAAGTATCTTTTAACCAAGCATGGATCGAAATGTTGCTCCTAAATCAAACCAGGGTCGTGTTACTTGTCCTACAGCCTAAAAAGATGATAGTTAGAAATGATGTAGAGGATAAAAGAAAATGAAGAGACTTTAAAACAAAGGCAAAATAATTGAAAAACTATTTCCTATGTTTAAGGCAAGATAGTTTATTTAATGGGTGAGATGGGAATGGTTAATGGGTACCCAAAAAAAAAAAAAATAGAAAGAATGAATAAAACCTATTTGATAGCACAATAGGGTGACTAAAGTCAATAATAACTTAATTGTATATTTTTAAATAACTTAAAGAATGTAATTGGACTGTTCGTAGCTCACAGGATAAATGCTTGAGGGGATAGATGCCCCATTCTCCAGGGTATGCTTATTTCATATTGCATGCCTGTATCAAACCATCCCATGTACCTCATAAATATACACATCTATGTACCCATAAAATTTTTTAAAAAATAGTTTATTTATATTTTTTCTTTAAAATTAGGTCAATATTTTAAACCTTTGATGTATTCAAATGAGACACACTAGGGTAAGTGAGAATTTAAATATGTCTCAAAAGAAGATACAAAGATGAGCATTGAATTTTCCTTTATATTAAAATCATGGTTTGGTAAGTCTGGTTTATTAATCCCAATATCCTTGAAGAAATAATGCAAAATAGGGATTGTAGAAGGCTAGTTCCCTCTATAAATTTTTATTGTTATCTATAAAAATAACCTCATTCTTTGCCAGAATTTCATCTTGCCTTAATGAAACCTACTTCAAAATGAAGGCTTAAAGTTTAAAAACATAACAATTCATGCTATTTAACTTTAAATAGTTAAAAACACTTTGCACAGCCATTTTGGAAGAATCAGACATTTTCTACATTTACTTCGTAACCATCGAAGCATCTCTCAAACAGAAAGACTCTACAAGTCAGTGCTTTTACTCACCTTACAGATCACATGTAATAAATAAGTCTGTGCAGATGACGTTAGCAGTGCTTTCAGATCCTGGTCCTGTATAAATACAAACACATTATCCACTAATTGCCTAATAATACCTCTGTGAAATAACGTGATTAGCAAGAAGTGAGACTAGAGATACTGTCTTTTAAAATTTAAGTGACCTACAAAAGGTTATATAACGAAGTACTCTGTGCTGTCAATAAACCTATTACTCTCCACTACCACTTTGTTAAGGCTTTTCTTAACCACTAAACTGCAGTGAACAGATTAGATGTTAATTTTGAGGCCAATAAATACCAACTGACATGACATTGTTTTTTAACGTGGTGTTTTCTGGTTCCAAATGTGTGTTTTGATGTTGTACAGTTATGGCATACTTTGCAAATCCTGGTCATTTCAGTTTGTGCTATCTGATATTACCTTAAAGACAAGTAATATATGAATGTAATTTATTCCCACGTTGATCTTCTCTTTGAAAACAACTTTATTGAGATATAATTCACCCATTTAAAGTGTATAATTCAGTGGTTTTTAGTATGTTCAGAGGTGTACAACCATCACTATAATCAGTTTTAGAGCATTCTCATTGCCCCATAAAGAAATTCCAAGCCTGTTATCAGTCACTCTCCATTCTCCCCAACCATCTCCCTGTCCCCATGCGTAGAACCACTATTCAACTTTTGTTTCTACAGGTTTGTCTATTCTGTATATTGCATATAAATGAAATCTTACCATAGGTGATCTTTTGTGATTGGCTACTTTTGGACATCTGGGTTGTTTTCACCATTTAGGTATTGTGCGTAATGCTGTTACGAACATTCCTGTATATATTTTTTTGTGTGTGGGCGTATGTTTTCATTTCACATATGTATGTACTTTGGAGTGAAATTGCTGGGTCACTTGATCATCTCTTTTTAATTGAAATAATGATTTTCTTCTTTTCTCCTTTGATCCTCAAAAACGATGCCTTCTGCCCTATATACAGGGACTCTGAGTTGGGAAATCTGGATGTAGAAGGAGTTGAAGCAGTGATAAGATAGACTCAGCCAGGCACAATGGCTCATGCCTGTAATCCCAGCAATTTGGGAGGCCGAGGCGGGTGGATCACCTGAGGTCAGGAGTTTGAGACCAGCTTGGGCAACATGGTGAAACGCTGTCTCTACTAAAAATATAAAAATTAGCTGGGTTTGGTGGTGTATGCCTGTAATCCCAGCTACTTGGGAGGCTGAGGCAGGAGAATCACTTGACGCTGGGAGGGAAAGGTTGCAGTGAGCTGAGATCTCTTGCTCTCACGTGTGCAACAGAGCAAGACTCTGTCAAAAACAAACAAACAAACAAACAAACAAAAAACGATGGACTCAATGTGATCTTCTTAGCCGAATAGAATAACCTTCAATCTTGAGTCCATTGTTCTTTTATCATCGAATATCTACTATATTAAAGAAAATGTTAGGCCCAGTTGGTGAATAGGAGAGACTGCAAGGCCGGAGCCACAAAGAAGAAATTGGCAGGTCTTTTGCCTGCAAGAAGCTTCCATTGTTTGTTTTGGGAGAAAGTTGTGGTCATAAAAGGTGGAATACAATAGGTTGTGGGGAAGGGAGGGATAGAGAGGTCTGTGAGCACCCAGGTTTAGACTGCATCCTACTGGCAGGAAGAGAAAATCCTTCTTGGAGGAGGTAGTGGCTTAAAAGTAGACCTCACAGCAGGGGTTCGTATTCTGTTAGGAACCAGGCTACACAGCAGGAGGTGAACAGCAGCAGCCAGACAGGAAGCTTCATCTATATTTACAGCCACTCCCCACTGCTCACATAACCACCTGAGCTCCGCCTCCTGTCAGATCAATGGCAGCATTAGGTTCTCATAGGAGTGCAAACCCTTTTGTGAGCTATGCATGTGAGCGATCGAGGTTGCGCACTCCTTATGAGAGTCTAATGCCTGACGATCTGTCACTGTTTGCCATCACCCCTGGATGGGACCATCTAGTTGTAGGAAAACAAGCTCAGGGTTCCTACTGATTCTACATGATTGTAAGTTGTATAATTGTTTCATTATATACTACAATGTAATAATAACAGAAATAAAGTGCACAATCAATGTAATGTGCTTGAATCATCCCAAAACCATCCCCAAACCCCAGTCCATGGAACAATTGTTTTCCCTGGTGCCAAAAAGGTGGAGGACTGCTGCCTTAGAGGATGGACAGGTGAAGTTTAGCTCTTGAAGTACAAAGAGGGAAGTAAAGAAGAGAGAAATGCCTCCCAGGCCCTGGAATACAGTGTATGCGACGGTCAGTGTACGTAAAGGCTGTGCAGCAAGAAAACATAGACCCTTTCAGAGAAAGGTTAGTTTCTTGAGAAAATGTCTTTATTCTACCTTCACAAATTAGCTGGTTATAGTATTCAGAATGAAAAATGTTTTTCTGCAGATTTGTGAAGGTTTACTTCATGGTCTTCTAAAGTCCAGACCTGCTGTTCTGTCTTTTTTTTTTTTTTTTTTTTTTTTTTTTTTTGAGACAGGGCCTCCCTCTGTCGCCCAGGCTGGAGTGCAGTGGTGCCACCTCAGCTCAGTGCAACTCCACCTCCCGGGTTCAAGCGATTCTCACACCTCAGCCTTCTGAGTAGCTGGCATTACAGGCACGCACCACCACACCCAGATAATTTTTGTATTTTTAGTAGAGACAGGGTTTCTCCATGTTTTCCAGGCTGGTCTCAAATTCCTGTCCTCAAGTGATCCATCTGCCTCGGTCTCCCAGAGTGCTAGGCTTACAGATGTGGCCCACCATGCCCGGCCTGTTCTGTCTTTAAGTTTTTGATTTTTGTTTTTTTAAAATCTCTAATATTTTGGGAACTGATCTTCCTTTGGTATTTTGACATTTTGACATGACATGCCTTGGTGTGCACCTTTTTGTTTATTGTACTTGGCTTCTCATGCATTCATTGTGAAGGGCTGATCAGTTCAGTTCTGGAAACTGCCCCTTTTTTTGGAATAATTTCTTCCCCTATATTGTCCTCTTTTTACTGGCTCTCTGGTTTGTGCGATATTTGATTTGAGCCTCTGTGTAATCATTTTTCTCACTTTTTCTCCATCTTTTTGTTGTACCTGAATTTTTCTCAACTTCTAACCCATCTGCTCAAATTATATTTGTCAAAATGTCTAATTTCCAAGAGCATTCTTCTTTTCTTCATTTATAGCTTCTTGTTTTTATTCCATAGCCATAATATTTTCTCTTATGTCTCTAAAGATACTAATTTTTTTGAAGTTACCTGTGCTGTCACTGTTTATTAAGCTTCTTTAATATTTGATGTTACTTTTTACATAATGGAGACTTTTTTCAAATGTTTGATTTCTAATGACTATATTTATTATTTCATATATTTGAAGTGAAAATAAAGTGTAAGAAGCAGCAAAAGCATGCAACTTCATGAAGATTATGAAGTGGAAGCACCTATTGTAGAGGGTTAAAACTGAGTTATCCTGTAGGAAGTGCAAGGACTACCTACACAAAGATCATCAGAGGTGAAATTATTGACTGCCTTTTGGAATTTATACATCAACAAAAAGTTTTCAAATGAACTTAAGGAAACATTCACTATCCCTGACTTTTTTTTTTTTTTTTTTTTTTTTTGAGATGGAGTCTTGTTCTGTCACCCAGGCTGGAGTGCAGTGGTATGATCTCAGCCCACTGCAGCCTCTTCCTCCCGGGTTCAGGCAATTCTCCTGCCTCAGCCTCCCGAGTAGCTGGGACTACAGGTGTGCACCACTGCGCCCAGCTGATTTTTGTATTTTTAATAGAGACAGAGTTTCACCATGTTGGCCAGGCTGGTCTTGAACTCCTGACCTCAAGTGATCTGCCCACCTTGGACTCTTGAAGTTCTGGGATTACAAGCATGAGCCACTGTGCCTGGCCATACCCCCAACTTCTTAGCTAGGGAGTATAGGTGAGAAGACATGAGAAGATGTTGAAAATCTCTTACAAACACATAGGTTTACAAAACACAAGCCTAAAACCAAGATGCTCAGGCAGTGCTGAAATTTGCTCTTGGGAGGAAATCCCAGTTTCATGATGTTTGAAAACATTCTTTCTCTTGCTGGATCACGTGTCATCAGATAGAGAAGGGCCAAAATTGTAGTATAAAAGGTTCTTTAGGGATGAGATTATGGACGCAAATTTTTTCTTCAAGGGAAGAGTATTTTTTCTTACTACTAGTTTTCTTCAGGTTTGTTTATTATTATTTTTTTAGACAAGGTCTCACTCTGTTGCTGAGGCTGGAGTTGCAGTGGCATGATTACTGCTTACTGCATCCTCGAGCTCCTGGGCTCAAGTGATCCTCCCACCTCAGCCTCCAGAATAGCTGGGACCACAGGCATGCGCCACCATGCCTCGCTAACATTTTTTAAAATTTTTTTTGTAATCTCAGCACTTTGGGAGGCCAAGGCAGATGGATCACCTGAGGTCAGGAGTTCGAGGCCAGGCTGGCCAACATGGTGAAACCCGTTTCTACTAAAAATACAAAAAAAATAGCTGGGTGTGGTGTTGTGCATCTGTAAGCCCAGCTATCCCAGAGGCTGAAGCAGGAGAATCACTTGAACCCGGAGGCGGAGGTTGCAGTGAGCCGAGGTCGTGCCATTGCACTCCAGCCTGGGCAACAAGAGGGAAACTCTGTCTCCAGGAAAAAAAAAAAAAAAAGTAGAGACAAAGTCTCCTTATGTTGCCCAGCCTGGTCTTGAACTCCTGGGCTCAAGTAATCCTCCTGCCTCAACCTCCCAAACTGCTGGGACTACAGATATGAACCACTGTGCCCTGGAGTTTATTCATTCAGTTTTGACCTGTCAAACTTCTCTACTTCCAACAAGTTCAGCTTATCACTTATCTTGACTAAAAGAAAGCCTGAAGGCTTGAAGTTTCGGGAAAGGCCATCCGCTGGGCTGAGACTCTGTCTGACTCTGGACAATGTTTAATTTTTGATCATCTATTCATAATTAAGAGGAAGACATTGTAAAGCTGATTGGAAGCTCCAAATGCAGTGGCAAAGCTTCTTGACAGGTCATCTTGTATAGGGTAATTGGGGAGGGACTGAAGAACTGGTAGGAGTGGGCACCATTATCTTTTAATCTGGCCAATGCCCCAGAGAGGACTCCCCCAGTCTCCTGTCTTGCTCTATTGGACCGCTCACAGGCTTTTGGCAGTTGTCCAAGAAAAGGTGGCTAGAGTTTCATCACTTAGGATGGAGATCTTATAATTATTTAATCCTCCTATGTTCAGTATGTCACTCGCCTTTACTCTCAGCTATCCTTCTGATTGTCTGAAATCTCCTGGTCATCCTCTCCAGAGAATAAACCTTTGGTCTTCTGGAAGTGAGGGGAGAGAGAAAGTGGATTCTGATAAGTCCAATGTCCAGTCAGTGCTGTTTTCAGCCCCAGCCATACTTCATCCTTCAGAGGTGCCTGTTACCTCCAGTTCCACCTCCTTGCCAGGGCCCTGCAGCTGCAATCAGCTTTCTACTCCTTAGCCGTCCTGCCCGCCTCTTGCAGGTACTCTTATTCTAACACTTTCTACTCTGCTAGTTAATTAGTGCTTGTTCATTGTGTTCTATATTCTATGTTTCCACATACTCTCATCTGGTTTCCTGTTCTTAGTATTTGTGGGTTTATACTTTTTCTAAAAACATATTTTCAGGAGGAAGCATTAGTTCAGTTGACCATGTTTTGTTCCCAGTAGTTTTCAGTAAACATACTACAAAAAAGAAAAAATATTTCTCATCTTGCCTTAGTTCATAAATGCCTTACAGATTGAGAGAATTCCCCTAACTAGCCTTTGAAGAAGAAAGAAGAAACATGAACATGTTTACGTCCCATCAGCCTGAAGATAGTTTATTTCAAAAAAATATTAAACATGTTTTAAAAATATGTCTTATTGTGAACATTATATGGGAGGTAGGAGAGAAATATACACATATGTCTATAATGCGTATGTTCTTAAACCTACAAGATAGACTACTGGAGAATCCAGAGAATAGGTGGCAGGTGTGAAACTAGAGGGCTACTTATGGGGAAAAAAAAAATGTGTTGGCTGGGCGCGGTGGCTCATGCCTGTAATCCCAGCACTTTGGGAGGCCAAGGCAGGTGGATCACAAGGTCAGGAGTTTGAGAGCAGCCTGGCCAGCATGGTGAAACCCCATCTCTACTAAAAATACAAAAATTAGCTAGGCATGGTTGTGGGCACCTGTAATCCCAACTACTCTGGAGACTGAGGCAAGAGAATCACTGGAACCCAGGAGGCAGAGGTTGCAGTGAGCTGAGATCACGCCACTGCACTCCAGCCTGGGCGACAGAGCAAGACTCCATTTAAAAAAAATAAAAAAGAAAGATAAAAATCCAGCAGCGATACCTTATGAAAAACGCAAGCACAAAATATGTCACACATTCTTATTAAAATATTTTAGGCTGAAATTATTTTCACAATGTACATTTTCATGCTTCTTGCTTTAAAAAATTGTCAACTCTTTGCTTATAAGCATGTACCTTTCAAGTATAGTTAGAAAACTGGCTGAATATGTCTAATTTCTAGCCGCATGCGTTTGTTTATTGTTCAAATACGCATTAGCTTAGATTGCGTTTTTCTACCTGTGATAAATAAAAAGAGTGCAGAAGCCCGCTGGACCTCTGTTAGGCTTCTCTTCCCTGTTGACATATACTTATGACTGGGTAGGTAACAATCACACACATTGGTACTGTCGTTCTTCCACTCACCTCTAATGTTAATTGATGATAATATTAATAATGACAACAGTAATAGCACTTAATGCCCAATCACTGCTCATTATAGACAATTTGAAAGATATAAAAGGAAAAGGCAAAATTTGTGTCTTTGAGCATTTTTTTTTTTTTTTTTTTTGAGATGGAACCTCGCTCTGTTGCCCAGGCTGGAGTGTAGTGCCACCATCTTGGCTCACTGCAGCCTCTGCCTCCTGGGTTCAAGCAATTCTCCTGCCTCAGCCTCCGGAGTAGCTGGGATTGCAGGCACCTGCCACCATGTGGGCTAATTTTTGTATTTTAAGTAGAGATGGGGTTTTACCATGTTGGCCAGGCTGTTCTCGAACTCCTGACCTCAAGTGATCTGCCTGCCTCGGCCTCCCAAAGTGCTGGAATTACAGGCGTGAGCCACTGTGCCCAGCCTCTTTAAGCATGTAGAAATATATTTGAGCAGTCATGACCTTACAATACATACAGCACTGATGACTACACTATCAGCAAAATCCTTACTCTCGAAGTTCTTGCTGCAAAACAAACAGATCTCAGCCTAGTGGCATTAAGTCACCATTTTATTTAGGTTACACTTCTCTGCCACACATCCCTGGCCAGCTTTCTGGTTAGTTGGTGACCAGGTGACCTGGGATGGCTTGTCACATGTGTCTGGAGGCTGATAGCTGTCAGCATGTGTGTCTCGTTCTCTTCCATATGGTTGTTTATCCTCCAACAGGCTGGCTAGGGTTCGCATGCTGGTCCCAGGGCTGCTTCATGAGAGAGCAAGCTCCAAGGGGGTGATAATCATATCTCTACTTATGTCATGTTTGCTAATGTCCCATTGGCCAAAGCAAGTCACCGGCCTAAGCCTGGAGTCAAATGGGAATTACCAAGGGTGTGGATTCAGGTGGGATATGTTGCAACCACTTTCTGCAAACAACCTGCCACATTCATCTTTTTTCTTCCTTACCCCTTTGGAAGAAGAAATATCTGCATGCCTTGTGAAATAAACAACGCTGTCCTCCCTTCTGTCCTATTTTTTTCCCTTCTTTCTACTGCCAACCTTATCACCCCAGGCTTTATTCTCCTGCTTCAATTTCTTCCCTACTTACTCTTTAACACCGTGAAACTGATTTCTGTCTCCATCTCTTTACTGAGGGTCTCTAGTGACTTCCTAATCACAAAGCCACTGACCTTTTATTAAACCTCCCCTTGACATCTCTGCAAACTTCAATTTGTTTTTCTTCTCTGCTAAGTCACTTTTGTCTTGCAGGTGCTGGTACACACAAAGTCTACTTCTACTACCACTCTGGTGGTTCCTGTTCAGTCTCTTCTGTTTCGACTTTTAGTTCCCTCACCTGAAATGTGGAAGTCCATTCAACCAAATGCTCAGGCCTTGGCCTCCTGATGTTTGTTGCTTTAGGCATGTCATTGGTTTCCAGACTGAGCTCTGTAGAGCCCCAAGAGATCCATGGATTCTTCTGGAGTCACTGCAGAGGCTTAGGGATGCCCAGCAGGCTGTGGTCTGTGCGTTGTACCCAGGATTCAGCCAGAACAATGCTACCTTCACATGTTTTATTTTATTGTGTTGTATTTTTATTTTTTATTTTTTGAGATGGAGTTTTACTCTTATTACCCAGGCTAGATTGCAGTGGCACGATCTTAGCTGACTGCAACTTCTGCCCCCCGGGTTCAAGTCGTTCTCCTGCCTCAGCCTTCCAAGTAGCTGGGATTACAGGCACATGCCATCACACCCAGGTAATTTTTTGTATTTTTAGTAGAGATGGGGCTTCACCCTGTTGACCAGGCTGGTCTCGAACTCCTGACCTCAGGTGATCCACCCACCTCAACCTCCCAAAGTGCTGGGATTACGGGCATGAGCCACTGTGCCCAGCCACACATATTTTATGTATTGGGACCTTTATGTGCATTTTCCTTTGAATGAAGGGTTTCACCTCAGGAGCGAGCTTTAAACCACTGCCATCTTCCCTTCTATTCTCTCATACTTCTCCAGGCTTCAGCCGTCACTTATAGTTAGTGTCTTTGGTCTTCGCCTCTCTCCCTAGTGCTTGGATCTCAGGTCCTCTTTTTGGATCTCTGTCGGTTCTGCCACCCACTTAAAATTGAGCTCCCAGTCTTTTCCTTTAAACCCTTTCTTCTCTGCATTTTCCATTTCCATTCTCATTACCTCCATCCTTCCAAATCTGAAACCTTCGTCGAAGGGTCAACAAATCTTTTCCTGGGAATTATCAGAAGGGAAATATTGCAGGGGCAGGGGTCATGCATTCTCTATGCAACTGCTCAGAAACCTGGATTTGGATTCCATCTCTGCCATGGAATGGCTGCCTGACTTTTTGATAAATTACAGGTGAAGCTAAGTTTTGCCATTTGTAAAAGGACACTAACCTCTGTTTGACAGGATTCCAGTGATAATTGAATAAGCTGTTACGTATAAAGCACAAGGTTCCTGGACCTGTCTTTCCCTACTCTAGCCCTTGTGATGGGCACAGGCAACTGGGGCACACAGCACCTGCCGTGGAGCAGTTCAGGGTGTTGTGAGGAATCTGAATGGAAAGTAATGAAACAAGTGTCTTTGCCTCCTCTGTAGTTATGTGCGGTCTTACACTATTTTACATGGTCACTATCAGCTTAGTTGTTTGTCACTTGTTGGTGACTGCTGTAAGGTAGATTTGAGATGTCCAGGGACTGCAGAGCTGCCTGGGATATGACTGGCATTGACACACTTGCTTGATCTCACAGCAGTTGCCATGGCAGGTCAGGTTGCATCCCCACCCATCCCAGTGACGAAGGCATGGGCCTTGTCTCCTGTACTCTAACTTTGAGATGTGCTTTCTGCCTCTTAGTCACATGGGTGCAGATCTCTGCCTGAGTTATCAAGAGCAATTGAACTCTCTCTTGCTCCTCTCACAGGCTCTTTTCTGAGTAACACCAAGTACTTGGGAACAAAATTACACATTGCTCTCTGTTTATTTATGGTTATATTTATCTTGGCAATCGACCTGTTAAGCTAGTTTTAACTTTCTTATGGGTAACAGTCACATGTTTTAAAAGGAACCTGATGGTTCCAGAATCCTTGTTACTACTACCTTTTTTTTTTTTTTTTTTTTTTGGAGACAGAATCTCTGTCACCCAGGCTGGAGCGCAGTGGCACAATCTCGGCTCACTGCAACCTCTGACTCCCGAGTTCAAGCAATTCTCCTGCCTCAGCCTCCCAAGTTGCTAGGATTACAGGTGTGCACCACCACAGCCTGCTAATTTTTGTATTTTTAGCAAAAATGGGGTTTCACCAGGTTGGCCAGGCTGCTCTCATAGACTTCTGGCTATTTTAAAACCATAAATAGATTAAGGAAGGATTATTATAAATTGCAGTTCAAGCTTTTTTTTTTTATCTTAGAGCACTATAACTGAATGTCTTTGTTGTATCATTGTAAACACAGCAATAAATATGCAGTTCTTCCCTCCCTTTTTCTCCACCAGATGTTAACAGGGAACGACATGAAGACTTTTACGCAGAGCTTAAAACAGTCAACCCTCTCTGTTCTTACAAGTTTTTGCCCCATCAATGGCTACATAAAAGATGTTGAAAACTGTGGAAAAAAGTAGAATGTATTTAATTAGCAAACATTTGATGAGTGGTATCATGCTATCGAGTTGGAATTTAAGGAAGGGAAATTGAAGATGTGTTAGATGTGGTGGTTTCTTCCTCAAGAAGCTCATGGTCTAATGGTCATGCTAAAAATGTGTATCACTGAGTAATGTGGTAGCTATCAGACTTAAAGCACTGTAGGCTTGGCATGGTGGCTCATGCCTGTAATCTCAGCACTTCGAGAGGCTGAGGTGGGAGAAAAGCTTTAGGCCAGGAGTTTGAGATCAGCTTGGGCAACACAGTGAGATCTCATCTCTACAAAAAATAAGCAAAAATAGTTAGGTATGGTGGTACATGCCTGCAGTTCCAGCTACTCAGAAGGCTGAGGCAGGAGGATTGCTTGAGCCTAGGAGTTAGAAGCCACAATAAGCTATAACTGCACCAATATACTCCAGCCTGCATGACACAGAAAGACCTTGTCTCTTAAAAAAAAAAAAACAAAGAAAAGAAAAAAAAAGCATTATGAGCCAAATGGCAAATGGGTGGACCCCAACACTGCTGGAGAAGGCAGTGCTGATGACCAGAGAAGGGCACTTTAAATTATATAAGCCCCCACTGTTAGTGACTGACCCTCTGGAGGCAGAGCCTACGTTAACCAGCAATGTGATTCTCTCTAAGGTTAGCAAGATGATTGCTAACTATGGGGTCCAACAACGCCTGCCATTTTAGATTATTTTCATTTTAAATCTCAATTCGCAATTTACTTAATGGCCCAAGCATTTTTTCATCCTCATAACCATTCGTAAGTGTACAATTGTATGAAGTATTTCACACTGTTGTGCCACAGATGCCTAGAATCTTTTCATCTTGCAAATCTGAAACTCTATATCATCTGAACAATTCCTTATCACCCTGCCCTGCCTCAGCCCCAGACAACTACCATGCTACAATTTTTTTTTTATTTGCTCAAATTTATGGGGTAGCTAAGACATTTTTTACAGGTATATAATGCATAATGATCAAGTCAGGGGACTCAGAGTGTCCGTCACCCAAGTACAGCAGTTTTGTTGAGTATAGTCATCCTACTCTGCTGTCAAACACTGAATTGATTCCTTCCATCTTACTGTATGTTTGTACCCTTTAACCCACCTCTCTTCCTCCTCCCTGCACCCCCCACTCACCCTTTTCAGTCTGTTATTTTTCCACTCTTTATCTCCATGTGTTCAATATTTGTCCCTTTGTGACTGGCTTATCTCAGCATGATATCCTCAAGATTCATCTATGTTGTCCCATGTGACAGAATTTCCTTCTTTTTCAAGGCTGAGTAATATTCCATTACATGTATAGACCACATTTCTTTATCCATTTATCTGTCAATGGGTATTTGGGCTGCTTCCACCTCTTGGCTACTGTGAATAATGCTATAAAGTTTTGTTTGCTTCTTTGTTTTTTGAGACAAAGTCTCACTCTGTCACCCAGGCTGGAGTGCATTGGCACGATCTCAGCTCACTGCAACCTCCACCTCCTGGGTTCAAAGGATTCTCCTGCCTCAGCCTCCTGAGTAGCTGGGACTACAGGTGTGCGCCATCATGGCCAGCTAATTTTTTTTAGTAGAGACAGGGTTTTGCCATATTGGCCAGAGTGGTCTTGAACCCCTGACCTCAGGTGATCCACCAGCCACAGCCTCCCGAAGTTTTCTTTAAATCTTCAACTTTTTTTCAATGAGCCTGTCAAGGTGGACTGTCAGCAAGCAGGAACTATAGCGTATGTTTCACAGCGGCTCAGTGTTTAACTTCCCGTTGTATTGTTTTGCTTGGTCTTTAACAAGTACTAAGTAGGGAAGTGGAAGCAGATATAGTTACCCCATTTTATGGATGAGCAAACTGATGGTGGATACTGAAGGATCTTGCCCAAGCTCACTGAGCTCATAAGGGGCAGAATTAGGGCAAGGACCCAGGCTTCTGCCTCATTTTTTTTTTTTTAATGTTCTTTCACCTCATCAAGGAGCTGCTTTTAGAAAGACACAGGCTTATGAAAGCAGAAAGTGCATTAAAAAAAAAAAGACACCAGCTGAGAATGCATTAATGTTTCCTCTTTGTTTCATGCTCTAGAGAGATTAAGGAAATAAAAGCTTTTTTTTTTCTCTTTAACTATAAAAGCAAAAATAAAGCAGGGCAGCTATTAAGACGATTTTAAAAGTATAAACATCTTCGTGCAATTTTTTTTTGCTGTTGAGTCTGGATAGAGTTTACAAGCAAAAAACTCACCTTTTGTCCTGCTTTTTAAAGTTTAGTTTATTGTCATTACACCATTGATGTGAAACAAGTCAATTTTTACACTTCAACATTATTTAAACAAAAATCTTGAGCTAAAAATTCTTTTTTTTTTTTTTTTTTTTTTTTTGAGACGAAGTTTCACTGTTGTTGCTCAGGCTGGAATGCAGTGGCGCGATCTCGGCTCACTGCATCCTCTGCCTCCCGGGTTCAAGCGATTCTCCTGCCTCAGCCTCCCTAGTAGCTGGGATTACGGGCACACACCACCACACCCGGCTAATTTTTGTATTTTTAGTAGAGACAGGTTTCACCATGTTGGCCAGGCTGCTCTCAAACTCCTGACCTCAAGTGATCCACCTGCCTTGGCCTCCCGAAGTGGAGATAAAAATTCTTGAATTTAATATGTTGTTAGTTAAAGGAAGACCTTCCAGGATGTCTGTGTATATCCTTTTCATGGTTAAATGGAGATACAAATGGAACGTACTTAATACTATTTGAATATGCCTTTTCCTGTAGAGAAATGGAAAAATAATCAAATATCTAGGAAATAGATTGTATGAAGAATGCTGAAGAAACAAAATTTAAATAGAGCAAGGAAGAGAAAATTGAAGTTAAAATGAAACGATTTAAAAAAAGATTTTATTAAGTGTTGCCTATTCGTAAGGGGAAAAAAACGAAAGGAACAAACTAAAAATTACAGCAGCCAAAAATATAAAGTTAGATGTAACAATTGACTAGAGAAACATGAAGACGAGTTATAAAGGAAGATTAGGAGACTGCTGTAGTGCAGGAGTGCAGGGTTGTGGTTTTTTGTTTGTTTGTTTATTTGTTTGTTTTTGAGATGGAGTTTCGCTCTGTCGCCAGGCTGGAGTGCAGTGGCGCCCTCTTGGCTCACTGCAACCTCTGCCTCCCATGTTCAGGCGATTCTCCTGCCTCATCCTCCCGAGGAGTTGGGACTACAGGCGCACGCCACTATGCTCAGCTAATTTTTGTATTTTTAGTAGCAATGGGGTTTCACGATATTAGCCAGGATGGTCTCGATCTCTTGACCTCGTGATCCACCCGCCTTACTAAACTCCATTTTTAAGGAAGGAAAATGAATCGCACAATCCGCTGTCAGTTGTTTATTCTGATTTCCTACTAAAAATTATTTCAATTGATATTTGCAGGATTAACACATGTTAAAGCAAACTAAATATGGCCTGAGAAGGCCTCCTTACTTCTACATTTGAGTCCTCGTGGATGAACTGTAATCTAGCTTAATAGGCAGATAAGATTGAAAACCTAACTTGGAAGTATGTGCCTGTAACAGTAACTGAGTCTTGGCCAATCCCAGCGGCCGTACTTCAACCACTCACAGACTGCTAAGTGTTCAAACTGTGTTCAAATAAGACAAACGCCAATATGTAGCCAGTCCAGCTATTTCTGTACCTCACTGCCGATTTCTGTATGTCACTTCCCTTTTTTTTGGTCTATAAATGTGTTCTGACCACAGGGCATCAGGGCGTCAGTTCTTGAATATTTGACACCAGTATCATGGTCTCATCCTGCCCTCCCTAGACTGGACAGGAAGTGAATTCAACAGGAAGTAGGCAAAAATGTACAGTCTAATCTTCTCGTCTTTGGCTTTCTCGTTTCATTCCCTGGATTTTTAAACAACCAACTATCCCTTTGTCTTCTTAGAGGAACTGTAATCATCCCTGAATGAAATATTTATTGGATCAGTTGTAAGCTTACATTTGAGTCAACCTACATTCCTTACAGTTGAGGGTTAAGTTTCAAGATCCTTTATGAGGCAACTCAGTGACACTCATCCCCAGGCAGAATTAAAGGAGATCTTTGGCTGTGACAATCTAAAGCTCTTTGGCTATGACAGAACAAGGAAAGTTACCGTGGTTGAACTAGATGGGAAGAACTACTTGCTTCTCCTCTGAGCGTACTGTGACTTGCTTAATTCTATGAGTTTAAGTAGCCTGAGGATTCAATAGGTCACATAATGGATATGCAAAATGGAGTATAGAAACCCTTTAATAAGTAAAAATCTCCAGGTGCTGTATTCAGCATACTTGCATGGATCCCTGACACTGTGGTGTATGTTAGGTAAGACATAGAAAATGCAATAGTAACTGTATTATAATGTACACAACCATTCTCTTCAACTCTTTACTTTAAAATGAGAGAGAGAGAAGGTGACACGGAGCCCTAGTCACACAGCTATGATTGGACTAAGGTTATGAACTAGTGTCCATTTTACCACATGGTCCATCTACTGAATTGGAGTTTCAGGGGTGGTAGTTGAGTCAGGACCCTCTTATTCAAATGATCAAAAGTCCAATAAAGGTGTACCTGGAAAAGGGGTCTTGTCCAGACCCCAAGAGCGGGTTCTTGAATGTCACATGGGAAAGAATTCAGGGAAAGTCACAGAATATATTTAAAACAATTTATTAGCAACTGCTGTATTACAGAGTAGAGCATCCTCAGAAAGAAAGGGGAGGAATGTCCCTATCTTAAATGGAATGCTGGCTTATATGGGTTATTAAGGTTAAGAATAGTGTACTTTATTACAAAAGCTTGTGATCAGCTGTGACAGGCTATTAGTATTGTTATTTTCCTATGTTAATATTGATTTCAGCAAGAATTTAGGAATGCACTACTATCTCTAAAGCAAAACTTCTTATTAAACTAAGAATGTTTTTTCTGTTTAAAATATCAGGACATTTCTATAAGTTCTAGGTTTTTATTTAGTTAGTTAGCATCATTAACTCGTTCCCTCAACTGTAAGTATCTTATGACCAGGCGTGCCCAACCCCCTGGGAATGTAACCCAGCCAGTTTGGCCTTATCTGGCCTTTGTTCAAGATGGAGTCACTCTGGTTAGGATGCCTGTGACCAAAGGACATAGCCAAAACTTGAATGTTTCATCTCAGCCTAATACACTGATGAATGTATACTCCAGCATTAATCTTTTGTTATGAAACCAAGATCTATTCTTTAAGTAGAAGTCTGTGTATTAGTCTGGGTTCTCCAGATAAACAGACCTAATAGGAGATAAACACACATACACACACACACACACAGAGAGAGAGAGAGAGAGAGAAGTATATGGAGATTTATTATAAGAAATTGGTGCACATGATTATGGAAGCTAAGAAATCCCATGATCTGATCTGCCAACTGTAACTGGGGACCCAGGAAGGCTGATGGTATAATTCCAGCTCCAAGAGCAGAGAAAAGATCGATGGATGTCTCACCACAAGCAGGCAGGCAGAAAGAAAAATGAGTGAATTCCTCCTTCTTCTACCTTGTATTCTATTCAAGCCCCCAACAGATTGGATCAAGCTCATCCACATTGGAGAAGGCAGTCAACTTACTCAGTCCACCAATTCAAATGCTAATTTCACCCCAAACACCCTCACAGACATACCCAGAAATATTGTTTAAATTTGCACCCTGTGGTGCAATCAAGTTGACCATAAAATTAGCCATCACAGTCAGCTAATTGAAGTTATTACTCTACTTATATGACCATCTTCAGTCTAGAATTTAGTTAAACATTCGAGTTGGACCATTATCTGTAGGAATTTGGGTTCCAGGAAATACAAGAAGAACTGAAAATAATTTTTTAAAAAAATTTAAACCATAGTCATGTTTATGCCTGAAAATAATACTTTAAATTTTTTCCTAAATATTCTAGAAATTAAAGTTTACCAAACATGAACCATTTGTTATTAATATTATACTTTTGATGAATGACTTGATAAAATACAAAAGAAGGAAATGTATTTTTTAGGAGAGGAATTTGAATAATTTTTCCCCAAAAAATTCATATGTATGTAAAATATCTTCATCTTAGTAAAGGTCCATTAGCCCTTGTTAACTCTGGTCCAAGAAAATCTATCAATTCAAGTTAGAAAAACAGGTACTCAATAATCTTAGCCCTTGACATTTTTCTTTAAATTTCTCTGAAATACATATTTTTTTTTTTTGTTTCCTTGGCTGAAAAATGTTCATTGTAATATTACCAGTGTGGTTTTTTTTGTTTTTTTGTTTTTTTTTTTCTAAGACAGAATTTCACTCTTGTTGCCCAGGCTGGAGTACAATGGTGCAATCTTGGCCCCCTGCAACCTCTGCCTCCCAATTTCAAGTGATTCTCTGGCCTCAGCCTCCGGAGTAGCTGGGATTACAGGAATGCACCACCACACCCGGCTAATTTTTTGTATTTTTTAGTAGAGACAGAGTTTCTCCATGTTGGTCAGGCTGGTCTCAAACTCCCGACCTCAGGTGATCCACCCACCTCAACCTCCCAAAGTTCTGGGATTACAGGCCTGAGCCACCGTGCCTGGCCCAGTATGGTATTTTTAAAAGGTTTTTTAAGTGGTTATTTTTTTCTGGCTCATGAATATCTTTGAATATATGATATGAATCTGTGAGCCTTCTCCAAAAAATAGCTTATATCTAAACAGCTTGGCTTATATTTCCAGGGTCTCCACAGGCCTCTGAAACAAACCTATATATCCTAAGGGTATACAAAGTACAAGAATCTCTTGCTAATAAGCCCAGCCTTTTTCCTTTTAGAGTGGCTGATGCTTGAAGAACTATGGAACGTTGGGGTGTATTCCTTTGCTCTCAGATACTTGAGGAGATCACCACATAAATTCTTAGAGTTCTGGGTTTAGCTGTAGTGTTTAGTCTAGTGTCGAAGCAGAGGTTGGGCAAATATACACTACTGTAAATACTTTCTTGTGCTATAGCTGTTAAGCATGTTCTAGTTTAAACAGTTGTCAGTGATTAGCGATTTTGATGTTCCGTTTTAAGATTTTGTAATGGTCTAGACGAACATGAACAAAACCAAAAGACCGTTTCAAGTTCAGCAGATAGTAGGAGCTAATCTTTTCTGTGGTTTGGTTTGGTCGCCTGCCTTAGGTTGGTTTACTAGTCTGTGACTTTCTGAGTTGCTTTATCTTGTGCTAACTTCTATCAGATACAATCTCCATATTGATTCCTGTTTATTCTTGCCTGGATGATCTATTCCATTTAGATAGCTAGAACATTCAGTAGCTCTCTTGAGGGAATCCCACCTGTGGGTTGCAGAAGGGTAACCTACGGATGCCCGATTGTCCTTTTTCCCTGGATTAAAAAGAAACCATTTGCCATTTTTCTGGCTTCTTAGAAAAATAAATGATATATGAAATGTTTGCAGCAGCAGAACTTTTTCCTGCCCAAAGGTTTAAGATTCCATGGACACATCTCCTGGTCTAGCATGCTATTGCTCTTTCTCATCAACTTTCCATCTCTCCTCACTCGTCACCTCCCACCCCAAATAACTTGTTTGTGTATTCCTCTTACAGCCTTTTTCACAGCATATTGGGTTATTTGTTTCTCTTGCCAAACATGTACAATTTGGCGTACCTGGGACTGAGGAATGGCCTGTTGACACTTCAAAAAAAATTTTTTTTAAGATGGAGTTTCATTCTTGTCACCCAGGCTGTAGTATGAGTGCAATGGCGGATCTCAGCTCACTGCAACCTCCACCTCCCACGTTCAAGTGATTCCCCTGCTTCAGCCTCCCAAGTAGCTGCGATTATAGGCATGCGACACCACACCCAGCTAATTTTGTATTTTTAGTAGAGACGGGGTTTCACTATGTTGGTCAAGCTGGTCTCAAACTCCTGACCTCAGGTGATCCACCCATGTTGGCTTCCCAAATTGCTGTGATTACAGGCGTGAGCCACTGCGCCTGGCCAACACTTAAAATTTAATTTCTTTGTAGAGGCATAATAAATATGTGTGGACTGAATGAATCACATGATCTGAGTGATAGGAAGTGTGTGAATGGAATCCTAAACGTTTGGAGGTCATCATATTTTGCCATCTTTATCCTTTATCTTACCTGTTTTATGGGGTTATGTCTTGTCTCTACAATTACATGTGACCTCAGTGAGGAATCAGGATTGTCAATTATGTCTCCATTCCCAGTGTAGTGAGTGATATGTAGAATGACTTTTGGTTGCATTATGACACTCTTTAGTGAAAAGTAATGATTAAATAGTTTGGGGTGGAGATAACGTGAAGAGCTCTTTTTAGAAACTTTCTGTTTGGTGCAGTAGGTTACCAAGGCATGGGCCGGAGGAAGATATAGTAGGAGGTGGTCTCTGCCAGGAGAAAGAATTCCCCCTGTAGGAAGCCAAGTTCCTGACTAGCAGTTGCCAGGGCTTTCTGTGTCCTGCCATAAGCAACGGTCCCTTCAAGCCCAGTTCCTGCAAAGCTGTTCTGTTACATAAAGATGAAATTATAAATACACTGGGGTATCTTTCAAGTAAAATTAACTCTATATATTAAAATTCACCTTATATGTATTCCACAAGCAAATGTCCTGAATTCTTGGTCCATGTGAAGTTTGATTATTGCAATTTTGGGAATAATTAGGGAAGAGAATATATAGTAACATAAAGGACTCAAGCATAAGACATACAAATGTCTAATATTCCCCCCTCCATGTGCAGACTATTGGATTATTCCATTTGCTTTTGTAATATGGGAATACAGCTGAAGAATAAAATGCAATGACATGACCTCATGATTACTGGAAAGAGTTTTTTCTCTTATTTACTGATAAATCTGCTATAATTTGAGATCAATATGTAATAACATTTTTCTGCAGGTGTTGACTACAAATATATCCCTATATAATAAAAATTTATTGAAAATAGGATGTCATCTTGTCTTCTCAATTTTTTTTGAAAAATTAAATAATATATAAGAGTATTTATTATAGTGGGATAAAAAGAAAAAAAACTCATGTACCCACCTCCACAATTACAGATACAGAGTGTCACTAATAGCTTTGAAAGCTTTCATGTTATCCTTCCCCAGGCTACCCTGATTCAGAGCAGAGATGCCCCAAAGTGGAGCTTAGCCCACTGAGTTCTTGGATTTGCCCAGGAAAGAATTCAAGGGCAAGCCAGAGGGAGAGGAAAACAGCTTTACTGAAGAAGTGTTACAGCTCCTCTACTGCCCCTGCAGAGCAAGGCTACCCTGTAGGCAGAGAGTAACAGCTGAGGGGAGTTTTGCAGTCGTATTCATACGCACTTTCAATTGCATGCAGATTAAGGGGCTATTCGTGCAGAAATCTCTAAGGGAGAAGTAGTAATCATTGGGTCATTGCCACGGAAAGGTGTGGTAACGCCTGGGTGTTGCCATGGCAATGGTAAATTGACATGGCACACTGGTGGGCGTGTCTGATTGAAAGCTGCTTTCCCCTGGGCCCTGTTTTAACTAGTCCTCAGTCTGGTCGGGTGTCCGAGACCCCCACCTCCTACCTCAACCCCCTCTATCAGAGTTTATCATTATGCTGAATGTGGTGTTTCCCACTCCCTTCCTGTTCATTACATTATGTCTTACCATCTATATTTATTTTCTACATGACATACTGGTTAGTTTTTCTGTGTTCAAACCATTATTTAAGTAGAATAATCAAGGTGTTCTTTTGAGACTGCTTTTTTGGCTCAACATTAAATGTGTAAAATTCATTCTTGTTGATTTGTATCACCATAATTTCTTTTTACCAATATGTGGTCTTCCAGTAGGGGATGTGGCACAATCAATCTGTTCTCTGTCCATGGGCATTTAAGGAATTGCAGATAATCCCAGTCTGGAAGCATTTATCCGTGTCTCCTGATGCATGTGTGCAAGAGTTTCTCTTGGGTATGTTAATTAGCAGTGGAATTGTAGGTTGATAAAGTATGTGTATCTTTACCTTTACTGGGCAGTTTTTAAAGTGTTTGCCTTCATTTACACTCATACTATCACTGTAGGAGAGTTTTCACTCCACCATTACTTTCATTGAATACTTTTCATATATTAACCTTTTGTTTTCTTCTGTGAAATGACAGTGCATGGCTTTGGACTTCTTTTTAATTATTAAATTGTATTTTTCTATAAACGTACAAGAGGACTTTCTATATTTTATATGTCATTATTTTTGTTGGTTATTTGTATTGCTGAAAGGGTTTAATTTGTAGCTGCTCTTGTCACATTTATATAGCATTCTTAATACCAATCAAGTCCGATGTATCTATCTTTTCTGTCACTATTTTTGCTTTTGGGCTCTTGTTTAAGAAATTCTTTCCTGGCCAGGTGTGGTGGCTCAATCCTGTAACCCCATTACTTTGGGAGGCCAAGGCAGGAGGACTGCTTGAGCTGAGGAATTTCAAACCAGCCCGGACAATCTAACAGTACTTCGTTACTACAAATAATTGAAATATTAGCTGGCCAATGGTGACAGACACCACTGGTCCCAGCTACTTGGGAGGCTGAGTTGGGGGGGTTGCTTGAGCCCAGGAGGTCAAGGCTGCAGTGAGCCGACATTGGACCACTGCACTCCAGCCTAGACAACAGAGCAAGACCATGTCTCAAAACAAAACAAAACAAAAAGCAAAAAAGGAAATTCTTTCCTACCTTAGCCTCATAAAGAATTCTTCTATCTTTATTTCTAACAGTTTTAAAATTTCATCTTTCATCTGTAATTCCTCGATCTTTCTGGAACTGGCTTTTGTATAAGGAGTGAGATAGGAATCTGACTTCATGTAGAATACCTGTTTGTTCCAGAGCTATTTTTTGAATGGCTTCTTATCTCCCCTTGGTCTGAAATGCCTGCTCAGTCATAAACCAATTTTCCACATATGAGTAGGTCTGTATCTGAGCTGCTATTCATGTTTCAATGCCATACTACCTGAATTTCTGTAGTTTTAAAATAAAGATTGATAGAGTTTGGACATATCAACCCATCATATTTTTCAGGATTGAACTGACTATTCTTGGACCTTTCTGTTCCATATAAATTTTAGATACCATATATGAAGTCCAACAAAAAAAGAAAAAGAAAAAACACAAACATACCCTGCTGACATTTTGTTTGGGGTTGCATTTAAGTCTGTAGATCAACTTGGAGGAAAATGCCTTTGTTATAATATTGAGTCATCTTACCCATAAATAGGAACTATCTCTCCATTAATTTAGCTGTTGAATGTCTTAGAATATTTTCGATAAAGGTCATATATTTTTTAGATTTGTTTCTAGATATGTTAATTTTTTAGTTACTACAGTCTCTCTCACCTTTCTCTCTCAAGTTACAGTTTCTGTTGGCTAATATGGAGAAATTCAGTTGATTTTGTCTGAAAAGCTTTGTATTTATCAGTCTTTCTAAACTTATTAAATGCTTATGAATTTTCTGTAGATTCTTGGGTTTTCTATCAGACATAGATAGGACAGTCATAGCATGTGAATAACGGAAATTCTATTTCTGGTTGAGCACAGTGTCTCACACCTGTAATTCTAGCAATTTTGGAGGCCAAGGTAGGAGGATCACCTGAGGCCAGGAGTTCAAGACTAGCCTGGGCAACCTGGCGAGAATGTGTCTATAAAAAAATTAAAAATAAATTAAAAAATAAAATTCTGTTTCTTCCACTCCAGTCCTTTTAACTTTTCAATTATTTTTCATCTTACCGTACTGGCTAGACTCCTCACCGCAACATTAGGTTATTCTTGTCTTAGTGGTACTCTTTAAAAGCATGTATTTGATTTGGGTTTTCTATAGAGGTACTTTAGCATGTTAAGGAAGTTTTCTTCTATTTCTAGTTTGCTGTTTTTTTCTTAAAAATTATGAATTGGTACTGAATTTTATCAAATGTCCCTTTTCTACATTTTTTTTTTTTTTTTTGAGACTGAGTTTTGTACTTGTTGCCCAGGTGGGAGTGCAGTGGTGCGATCTCGGCTCACGGCAACCTCCGCCTCCCGGGTTCAAGCGATTCTCCTGCCTTAGCCTCCCTAGTAGCTGGGATTACAGGCATGCGCCACCACGCCCGGCTAATTTTGTATTTTTAGTAGACACAGTGTTTCTCCATGCTGGTCAGGCTGGTCTCGAACTCCCAACCTCAGGTGATCCACCTGCGTCCCTTTTCTATATCTTTAAAGGTGGTCATATGATTTTTTTGTTGAATTTCTTATTGCGGCAAATTTTATTAATAGATTTTCTACATGGAACTGTTTACTTGGATAAACAACATTTTCATGATGTTTTTAACATCACCTTTTTTTAACATGTCGCTGGATTTGACTCTTGAAGATTTTGGGGGAGGGTGGGGGACTTACTGTATGTATAATCATGAGGGAAACTGGCCTCTAATTTTCCTTTCTTATCCTTTCCTCAAGCGATTTGACACTGAAGCTTACTGCTGTCTTAAAGTTTTTGTTTGTTTCTTTGTTTTGATCTCTCTTCTTGGGAAGAGTTTGTTATGTTCTGATTATGTATTCCTTGAGTATTTTCTATAACTCACTGGGAAAATTCCTAAACGTACTGTGTTTTTTGTGCTTTGGGAAGATTTGACTATTGATTCAAATTCTTTAACAGAACCCTTTAGGGTTTTCACTCTCTTCTCATGCCAGTTTGGGCATTATAGCTTCCTAGTTCTTTTTCTATCTCATCTAGATTTTCAGAATTTTAGGCATGAATTTATAATCTCATTTTCTTACTAATCTCTGCAGTATCTACAGTTACATCTTTTCCTTCTCTCAATTTTTACTCAATAAATCTCACTATATATTTTTGAATAATTCTATTTTCTATTTCATTAACTTCTCTTCTTTTTAAATTTGGTTCTAATTTCTTTTTCATTTAAGTCAGTTACTTAGCTCATTATTTCTCAAAGTATCTTCTGTTAATCACACAAGCTTTTTACATTTCTTTTTGAGAACCTGGTTTTCTGTATCTCACAAAATTTCATATGTAGTATTTCATTATTGTTCAGTTCTAAGTATTTTCTATTTTCATTTTGATTTTTTTATTGGGATGGTGAGTTATCTATAAGTGTGCTAATTCCCAAAGATATGCAGGTGATCCTACTGTTGTCATTTCTGTCTCTGATTTCAGGTTTGTACATTTCAAATGGGAGAGAGCTCTTTTTTTTATTTTTTTAGTTTAGTGGGACAATATTTATCTTTTTAAAATGTAGCATTTACTCGTCTTACTTTGGTTGTGATTACACATGTTTGCACTTAGTTTCCACTACAATCTTATTTTGTCCTTTTTGCATGCTGCAGTTTTTCTTCATCACCCCTTATCTCCCTATTTCTTTCTTTAAGAATTACTTTCTGGCCAGGCATGGTGGCTCACGCCTGTAATCCCAGCACTTTGGGAGGCCAAGGCGGGCAGATCACTTGAGGCCTGGAGGTTGAGACCAGCTTGGCCAACATGGTGAAACCCCTTCTCTACAAAAATAGAAAAATTAGCCAGACGTGGTGGCGGACACCTGTAATCCCAGCTACTCTGGAGGCTGAGGTATGAGAATCGCTTGAATTCAGGAGGCAGAGTTTGTAGTGAGCCCAGATCACACCACTGCACTTCAGCTTGGGTGACAAAGCGAGACACTGTCAAAAAAAAAAAAAAAAAAAAAAAGGAATGATTTTATTTATTTATTTTAATCAGGTTTTTACCCTTTATTAGTTTGGAAGTTACACATTATAGTTCTGGGCTTGTTTAAATGGATACCTTAGAAATTTCAGCATGCATTCTTAAAATCTAAAGTTAACCAGTTAAGGACTTTGGAGCATTTAAGGCTGATAACTCCTACTTGATTTATATTTTTGCCAATAATTTGGTTTTATGTTTTCTTAACCTTACACACCAAATATTTTTACCATTTAACTTTTAAAAGTAAGTCTGTATTTGTTTACATTTATTCACTTAATTACTACTGCCTTTTCTAACCATTTCTTTCACATATCAAAGATTCCTTTTGATATCACTGTTGTTCTTGAAGCTTGTCATTGACAAGTTTCTTTCATGAGAAGATTTTTGACAATGAAGTCTCTTTATGTGTCTGAAGGAAACTTATTTATAGAAGATAGTTTTGTTGAAAATGATTGTAGGTTTATACTTTTTCCTGGAACTTGAAAGATGGTATTTGATTGACAGTTGGCTTCTGACTGTTGAGGAGTCAACTCTCATTATAACCATGTCAGCTCTTTGTATGCAGTCTCTCTTCCTAAATCCTTTCAAGTCTTCTTCTCTGTCTTTGGTGTGGTGTCATCTCACTGTGATCCATCCAGGTACTGGTTTATGTTTCACTTTTTCCTGCTTCGGATTCATTGTGCCTCCTGAATATGAGGATTTGAGAATTTTGTCAACCCTGGAAAACCCTCAACCATTAGCTCTTAAAAGTTGAAAAGTAAATGAAGTCATCCAGCATTGTTAGGTATTCTTCAGTGGAATGTTTGTTCAAAATGTCAAGTTAGGCCAGGCATGGTGACTCATACCTGTAATCCTGGCACTTTGGGAGGCCAAGGCGGGGGTATCACTTGTGCCCAGGAGTTCAAGACCAGCTTGGGCAACATAGCAAGACTCCGTCTCTACCAAAAAAAAAAAAAAAAACCAAATTAACCAAGAATGATGTTGTACACCTGTATCCCAGGTACTCAGGAAGCTGGGGTGGGAGGATCACTTGAGCCCAGGAGTTCAAGACCAGCTTGGGCAACATAGCAAGACTCCGTCTCTACCGAAAAAAAAAAAAAAAAAACAAATTAACCAAGCATGATGTTGTACACCTGTATCCCAGGTACTCAGGAGGCTGGGGTGGGAAGATCACTTGAGCCCAGGAGTTCAAGGCTGCAATGAGCTGTGATCGCGCCACTGCACTCTACTGTGGGTGACACAGAAAGACCCTGTCTCAAAAAACAAAACAAAAAAAGTCAACTTAGCTCCATTGCCAGAATTCGCAGATACATGAATGAGGTTTTACCCCACATTATTTTATCTGAATTTTGGTATAATCTTCTATTTATTTTACAATTATTTACTTAAGCAGAAAATCAAGAAGATGTTAAAAAAAAAAAAAGGGACATATTACCTAAAATACTAGGGAAGAAGAAACCGTGTTTTTTAAGTAGAATAGGCCAAATGTCAACAGACATCCAGGGTACTAGAAAATATTGAGACGCGTCTAAACACACAAACCTGTCTTCGAACCTCTAGTCACACAGCATGTTTGCATTCTATATTTCCATGAAACTTGGAGTGAGGAGGGAGAGAAAATACATTTATTTTTATCCTCTTTAGTTAAAATTGCATATCAGGATTTCTTTTTTTAGGAGTTGCAGGTTAACTTCTAAAGTTATCTCCCACCTGCACTACATAGGGAGACCCTGTCTCTTAAAAAAAAAAAATTAATTAATTAACTGGGTGTGGTGGTGGAGGCCTATAGTTCCAGGTATGTGGGAGGCTGAGGTGGGAGGATCCCTGGAGCCCAGGAGGTTGAGGCAGCAGTGAGCCGTGATTGCGCCACTGCACTCCAGCCTGGGCAACAGAGTGAGACCTTGTCTCAATCGATCAGTCAATCAGTAGTAAAGTTATCTCATTACAGTTCAATGTCTCAACATAGGACTGGGTAGAAGGAAGCCTTCTGTCCTGTGATCTGTGTTGCTCTGATACATTCCTAAAAAGAAACTATTAAGAGGGGTAGATATAATTCTAACATGCAAATGTGTTGAGGGAAAGGTGAAAAGTACATATTACTTGATTACTATTTATTCACATGGAAACCATTTTTGTATTTGCAGTTAGTGTCAACTGAAGGGATTAAGAAGATAATCTCTATCATTTATATTTGGGTCTGGTCAGATGCTTTTGTAATTATATTTCTATTTGATGCCTCCTTTATCTGAGATTTTATATATTTTTTTAAATCTGGAGACAGGATCTCACTCTGTCACCCAGGTTGGAGTGCAGTGGCATGATCATATAGTAGCTCACTGTAATCTCAGCCTCCTGGGTTCAAGCAATCCTCTCACCTCAGTCTCCAGGGTAGCTGAGATACAGGAGTGTACTACTACATCTGGCTAATTTTTAAATGTTTTTGTAGCGATGGGGTCTCGGTGTGTTGCACAGCCTCGTCTCAAACTCCTGGGCAAGTGATCCTCCTGCCATGGCCTCCCAAAGTGCTGGGATTTTAGGCGTGAACCACCATTCCTGGCCTGTCTGAGATTTTATAATACTTAAAACAACCACACAGTGTTGGCTCATTTAACTTCTTCATCCATTCACATTTGCTTGTGGGTCCAGAATGAATCTGCTTTTCTACTGATGCCTCAAGTAGGTCCCAACTTCTTTTATAAATATGTAAAAATCTATTGCCTTTTCCTGTGGTTACTGCTTGTGAGAGAAAACATACTCGATTTATACCTAGAATGAACTTCAGCAAAGTTAGTGAAAATGTCAACATAAACACAGGCTTTACCTCTGAAAGTCTATGATATGAAACATCAAGAGCTGATCAGGCTTTTTCCCTTTAAGAGCTTTACATATAAATTACAATATTTTCCTCCTTAAAAAAGCCAAAATGAGGAAGTTAACGGAGATGAAATTACAGTCCACTCATTTGATAAAAAAGCCAAGAAACAAAATGGATAAGCATGGATAAGCCCCAAAGATATCTTTGTTGACCTCATTGAATCTCATTTCTTTTTCTTTTTTTTTTGAGATGGAGTCTCGCTCTGTTGCCTAGGCTGGAGTGCAGTGGCGTGATCTCAGCTTACTACAACCTCTGCCTCCTGGGTTCAAGCAATTTTTCTGACTCAGCCTCCTGAGTAGCTGGAACTGCAGGCGTGTGCCGCTATACCCAGATAATTTTTGTATTTTTAGTGCAAATAGGGTTTCACCATATTGGCCAGGCTGGTCTCGAACTCCTGACCTCGTGATCCGCCTGCCTTAGTCTCCCAAAGAGCTGGGATTACAGGCATGAGCCACCGCACCCGGCCCAAGACTATTATTTATGTTTGTAAAGAAATATCAATTAATTTTAGAAATAGAGATGGTGCTTCCAAGTCTTAGAGGGGAGGAAAAGCTCTGTTTTAATTATCCAAAATGTCAAGCTATTCACTAAGATTTTTCCCTTGACTTGTAGCTAGCCTCAGTTTAAACAAATACCACATATATTCTATTTGAAGTAAGATTTAAAATGTTAAATGTGACAACAAATCTGTCACCCAAAAGCTTCTTCACAGTCTTTGATAATCCTTCCCTCCTGCCCCTTCTGATGTCCTGATCTGCTCATAATCTTGGTTGTGGTAATGGTTTCACAGATAATCACATAAGTTAAAACTTAACACAAATTGCACTCTGTGGAGGGATGGATGTGTGTGTCTCTGTGTGTGTGTGTGTGTGTGTGTGTGTGTGTCCCTGTCCCTATACCTCAATACTACTGTTAAAAACAAAAATATAAAAATACATTTTCAAAAACATTCCAGGCTGGGTGCAGTGACTTACACCTGTATTCCCAGCACTTTGGGAGGCCAGAGGCAAGCAGATTGCTTGAGCTCAGGAGTTCCAGACCAGCCTGGGCAACATGGTAAAACCTTGTCTCTACAAAAAAAATACAAAAACTAGCCCAGCATGGTGGAGTGTACCTGTAGTCCCAGCTACTTGGGAGGCTAAGGCGGGAGGATGGCTTGAGCCAGGAGGCAGAGGTTGCAATGAGCCAAGACTGTGCCATTGTACTCTACCAGGGTGACAGAGTCAGCCCTGTCTAAAAAAACAAACAAACAAACAAACAAACAAACAAAAAACTGTAGTAAAAAGAAATTCATTGATGTTGTATTTCAAAGCAATAGGAAATATAGCCAAAGAAAATATTTTAACACCTTTGAGATAAAAGAGAGATAGAGATGACTGGTGTCAGCTATCTTTTATGACTGCCCAAATATCGCTTCCCTTTGGGCTTCCTGTTTCTGTGTTTACATTTTTTTTTACCTTGTTAGAAAGTAACTGTTTAGATAACACTATTTATTCATTAAAATAAATATATGTATATGCGTGTATTGATATATATATATATATATATTTGAAATCCTATTAAGTACAAGGCAGTATGCCAATGCCACATGCAGATAGATATAGCAAGATGATCAAGATAGAGTATTTCATGCAAGGGGACCGGCATATTCCCAAGAGCAGGAGAGAGAGCAAGATTGGTTTTAGAAATGGCAAGCAGTTTAATATAACTGGATCAGCGACCACAAAAAAACCAGTTTCTCTTTTATAAAGCCAGGCTACTTTACAGCATTTCTCATAATTCAATTTTAGTGGAGACCAGGTGATGGATTAAGCATCCAGTTTTGCCCTGCACAGAACTCTGTTGATTGTATTGCTGTTGTTATCCAAGACCAAGCACTTAGGAAAAATAGCTGATGTTTCTGCAACTCAGAAGCTTTGTATGAGTTGCCTTGGTTTATTATAGAGTGTTAAGGAGGTGTAATAATCTGTGCTGGTAATAGCTGGTCTTGGTAAAGAAAAGCCCTTTCTCATGCAAATACTAGATGTAATGAAATGATGGGTCTGTGAGTGATATTTAAGGTTTATAACTATATTTTTTTCTTAAGCTAGTCAAGTACAGTGTTGAGAAGGAGGAAAGAGTGGAACAAGGAGTCCAATCTGTAACTTGTAGCTACATTACAAAAATAAGAATTATGTAAATACTTATAGGGAACAGTAAACGTGTTATGGCAAGTTTGAAACTGTCTATCCCCTAATCCTTTTTTCTACCATCAAAACTATTGTCTTAAATCAGATTTTGTTGTTGTTGTTGTTGTTGTTGTTGTTGTTGTTGTTGTTTTAATAGCTTGGAACTTCTTGGAACACAATTGTGTTAGAACATACTGTGCTACAGTATTCCTATCCATTCCAGCAAGAGCTTCGGTAGAGTTGTATATAAAGCTTTACCAGTTAATTTTGAGCTTTCTCTGAAAAGCATATGGCATGTTTTATACAGAAAAACCATTTTAAAACATAGAACATTGGGAATTTTGGCCATGAACTGAAAGAAAATGGTTTGAAGATATGATCTTCTAATTCGTTATAGGAGTGGGGAAGAGGTTTCTCATATGGTATGATTTTAAAGATCTATTAAAAACAAATTTATATTATAGAGTTCATATATAAATCATGACCTCTATTCATGATTTAGTCAGGAAGACAGAAAGCACTTCAAATATTTCAGGGATAAAGTGATTTAACATAGGGAATTAGGAATGTACAAAATCTGAAAGGACTGAAGGAATAAAGTCAGAGAAACCTGCCAGTTCTCAGTGTAGCCAGTAGAATTTGGGGAATCAGGAAGTTTCCAGAATTACTAAAAATCATTGCTGATAATTGCAGCTACCTAAGGCATTGGTTGGGTGATTTTCAGGACACAACCTGGAATAGCATTTCCCAAATGTTTTAGTCTCGTGACCACTTTACATTCTTAAAAATTAATATGATGATGATTATTATATTTTTTATAGAGACAGGGTCTTGCTAGGTTGCCTAGGCTGGTCTCGAACTTCTGGGCTCAAACAATCCACCCACCTTGGCCTCCCAAAGTGCTGAGGTTATAGGCATGAGTCATTGTGCCTGGCCCTAAAAAAATTATTGAACACCTCAGTGAGCTTTTGCTTGTATAGCTTATGCCTAATGGTGTTTTTTGCATTAGAAATTAAAACAGAAAAAAATAAATTACAAGAATAAGGAAGCAGGCACTCCCCTAGCTATCAGAGTGATAAAGTCATCACAGGTCGTGTAAGTATTTGAAAAATTCCAATCTACCATCATGAGAGAACGAGAATATTAGAAGGCAAATGATGTCTTAGTGCCATTAAGAAAATAGTTTTGACCTTGTGGAATCCCTAAAAGGGTCTCTAGAGCTTCTAGGGGTTCCTGAGCCACACTTTGAGAACTGCTGGCCTAATGGAACTGGAAAGTCTCTGGTCTGCTGGAGCCCACGTAGATGCCTTCTGCTGATGGTGGCTTCTCCTCTGCCTTCTGCATGTCACACAAGGATAATCTGGCTTCTCCTCTGCCTTCTGCGTGTCACACAAGTGGCTCTCATTGCAAGGAGTCCAACCTGGAACCCTGTTGGCAGAGAATCTGAAAATATCATCCGTAGGAATTCATGCTCTTTGTTAGATGGGAAAGTATAAGGCAGGCGGAGGCATAGTGCCGAGCTGACAATAGGCAATCCAACATATTTCGTTAAAAACCGTGAAAATCCACCTGAGTTGACAATAGGTGGCATCTACATGAACAGAAAAATTTCTGAGAGTAGGGTCTTCACTTTTCCTGAAACTCCCTACTCCTTTCCAATGATCACTTCTTTCCCTCAGTCTTTGACAGTAATAAGACCATGAAATAACTACCAAATCAATCTTTGACTGCTTTCCCCTGCATACCTTTTTTGATATAGGGTCTCATTCTGTCACCCAGGCTGAAGTGCAGTGGGGTGAACATAGCTCACTGCAGCCTCGACCTCCCAGGCTCAAGCGATCCTCCCTCCTCAGCCTCCCAAGTAGCTGAGACTACAGGCACACACTACCATATCCAGATAATTTTTGTATTTTTTTGTAGGGATGGGGTTTCGCCATGTTGCCCAGGCTGGTCTCAAACTCCCAGGCTCAAGGGATCCATCCGCCTTGGCCTCCCAAAGTGCTGGGAATACAAGCATGAGCCACTCCACCTGCCCCCCAACCAACCCAAAATTTTTAATAGGTTTGTTTATCCTGAAACTTTGTTTTATGTGTGCACCTATATGTAAAATCACTCATCAAAATTATTGAGATCTACACAGAGCTCAACCAATTCTGATCCTCTTTGGAGGGCCCAGAGCATCTGTGAGCCCAGAACACAGCGGTTTTGCATAAATGAGCTTTTGAAAGTACGATGACTTTAAGTACTCTAAAATGCTTAGATCATTTTTAGAGAATTGATAAGTTTAACAAAAGGAGAACTTCAGAATGAAAATTATTATTCCACCTTCTATGAGGAATGTTTTAAAAGATAAAAGTTGTTGGCTATTACCTTGAAAATCTAAAGCTATGTGCAGTAACTCACAAATAGTGAATTAATTGATTTAAAATTTATGGTCATTAATGATGAGTTTGCCAGTAAGAGTTTTTCCCCTCTTTGGTGGAGAAGTTTAGAAACTTCTGTTTCATTTCAACTTTGAACAAAATCCTAGAAGCCATTTCAAGTATACTTTGCTAACCCAGAAATTTTGGCAAGAAAGTATAAACTTGAGCCTTCTCGGATAGTCTGTTCATGGAGAACAAAGCAGAGAATGATAGCAAAAACAAAAATCTAATCAACCAATCAGAACAATGCTACTTCTTTTCTATTAATCATTGCCACATTTCTCTTCCCTGTCCTCCATCAATAGATCAAAATTAGAATAGGACTTGTAGGTAAAAATTGGCCCTTGAGAAGGTATGCGTGGATTACTTTTATTTGACTTACATGTGGCTTTATAGTCAGAAGTACTGTTGCTTGCAAAGCATATTTGTTTGTTTGTTTGTTTTTTAACTCAAAAGCACCTGAAAAAATAATCAGAGGTTTTTATACCTACAAAATGTTACTGGGTTCCCATTCCATGTAGATGCCAAAGCCAAATGAGCTTGTACAACTGAACAAAAATAAATCATGTTTATTTTTTCCATATGCACTTAGAGAATATGCAAAAATAAATGTCCAGAAATAAAAATTTGCCAAAGATTGCCACATATGCCTGAATATAAGATGAGGCTTTTTTCCCCTCAGAATTATTCTTCAGAAAAGAGAGAGTCACCTTATATTTGAAATCTCACAAGATCTCCCATGGTGCAAGAAGTACATTTTCCATTACTTTATTTTGAACAACAATGTGCTGCTTGCTGGAGATACATGGGCCTGCATGATGTCAATCAATCTTATTTTGGTGTGTTTATATAAGTCACCTGATACATTTGACTTAAATGTTTAAATAGAGATTTAACATTTACTTCTAGAGACATGACGTCACACTTGTAAATATTGGATGCTATGGTAAACTCAAACATTCAAAACAAATACTGTTTCCAATTAGTTGAAAGGAAGTTCCCATTAGAAAGGGGTTAGGTGACCCAGTATCTCTCCTGATATCCACAAGACAGATGAGAAGTTTTCAGAGGATTTTTTAAAAATTAAATATGGATAAGGATGTGGAGAGAGGGATACTTCTAAGTTAGTGCAGTTGGCCATTGAACAATGAGAGGTTATGGGCATGGACCCCCTACAAAGCCAAAATCCATGTGTAACTTTTGACTCCTAAAAAAACCAAATAGCGTATCGTTGACCCAAAGCTTTACCAATATCATAAAAGGTTGGTTAACACATATTTTGTGTGTTATATACTGCATACCGTCTCCACAGAAGAGAGAAAACATGAGAAGATCACAAAGGTCCTTTTGTTGCCAGGCTGGAAAATGGCAGGCATCATTCTCCACGCATTTCACTGGCCAAAATTCAATCACGTGGGCCAATCTAACTGCAAGGAAGGCTAGAAATTTAGTTGTCTGTATTCTGAGGAAGAAAATGGAGTTAGTAAGCATCTTGGATCTCTGCCACAGTATCTGACTATCTTTGACAGCACTGAGAGTCAGCCACAAGGTATTTATTCTTTGTTAAATGTGACATCACCTTATATTTGGAATCTCCTTCTATTTGGGCATATATAGCAGTTGCCTCAAAACTTCGAAGTCATAGAAAATTATTTATGGCTAGATCTTTTAAAGAGTTTTTGTAATCGAGGCAAATTGACATAGAACATGGAAATGTATCTAAAATGATTGGAAACTTATTATAATTAGAAATGTATTAAAACTCAGGGGAATGGCCCTGAGTCTGGGGGTGTCGGGATACCTGGCCCAGTTGGATTTTTTTTTTTTTTTTTTTTTTTTTTTTTTTTTGAGATGAAGTCTCGCTCTGTCACCCAGGCTGGAATGCAGTGGCGCTATCTCGGTTTACTGCAAGCTCCGCCTCCCGGGTTCATGCCATTCTCCTGCCTCAGCCTCCTGAGTAGCTGGGACTACAGCCGCCCGCCAGCACACCTGGCGATTTTTTTTTTTTTTTTTTTGTATTTTTAGTAGAGACGGGGTTTCACCGCACTAGCCAGGATGGTCTCCATCTCCTGACCTCGTGGTCCGCCCGCCTCGGCCTCCCAAAGGGCTGGGATTACAGGCGTGAGCCACCGCGCCCTGCCCCCAGTTGGATTTTTATTTCCAACCACTGCTAAAGCATTCCTATGCCATTTGCTCTGAACCCTGGACTCTCAGGAACTGGGTTGGCCAATCACCGATTTAATCCATCTTGCTGTGATGGAGAGAACTTATGCCCAAAATTGTTGATTGGCAGTCAAGGCCCAACAGCCAATGGGCGGTAGCTGCAGCCTCGCGGTCCCTCACCACCTGTGCTCTGCTCGTGTTTACCCTGCGTGCCGCCAATAGTGATTCAAGCCAGTTATCCATCTGTTCTCCCACACCACATCTTCCCAAAAAGGCCGTTTCTTCTCCTCTTGGCTGGAAGCCTGTGCCCTCTGCTCACAGTTCTGTTAGAGCATTCGGATTTATATAGAACGAAGGTTTGCTTTGCTTTAAAACATCAATTCCTTGATCCCAGTTCTGTTCTCCCTGGGCCTTATGGAGTATACGATCACCTTCTTCCTCTTTAGATTTTTTCTTCTCTGGGCTAAAAATCTCAAAGTCCTCATGTGACATGTTTTTATGCCCTCTTACCTGATTTCCTCCCATGTGAGTGTGCTATAAATACAGCTCTTCCAAAGCAGAACACATCAGATTAAATACTTGTGATCTGGCAGGGCACGGAATAGAATGGCGTAGGCCAGCACGTGAATTGGTGGTAAACTGAAGGTCATCGGGGAGAAAATAACTTCTCTACCCTCTTCGGTGTAGTATTTAAGGCCAGTGAATTAAACTAACAAAAGGCACATCTCACAGGATACGAGACATGCAATTTTATTAACATTTTACATGCACTGGAGTTCACAGAAAAGGAGTGAAAGTCGAAGTGGGAGGATTGGGGGCTTATATACCATTTTAAACAAAGAAAAGGGTGTCTGCATTTCACGAGATGCTGAATTGCAGGAAGGTGACTAGGAAGAATATGCGGAAGCTAATGGAAGATGAGGGTTATTTTAGTAAGGTGTGTTTCTGCATCTCATCTCCATGCCAACTCACCATCTCCAGCAGTAAGACACAACTTTTCTGTTCCTGGTACAGCAGAGGGGAATTTTACAAGGGAAAATTTGAGTCCTGGTTTTAGGTAGATGAGGGGAAGGCAGAGAATTTCTCCTGCATTTGTAGATTCTCAGCCACCTTCAGTTCAATATAATCCTTATGGCAAGGTCGCATATTTTGGGGATGACCTCTTCTGATCCCCTTCAAGGTACAATTTGAAACCTTCTCCAAGTATTCTGAATTGCTTTCCTCTGGAGACATTAATTTCCCCACCTCCCGCTATCACCTTTGAAATCATGCTCTAAGTAACCCTTCATATTATCACACTGTAAATTGGGATGTTTAAAGTTTGGTTGTTTATGCAGTTATAAATCAGCTTAATTATTTGTCATTCAGCTTCTAATAGCTTCTCTGCAAGAATAAGAAAGCTCATCTGATACTCGGCTGAAATCCAGATTCGCTCATCCTTCCTCCCTCCCTCCCTTCTGCCTACTGCATGCCAGTGATCTCCCAGCCACCAGGAACAGAGTAAACAAAACAAAGCCCCTGCCGTCAGTAGGATTACAGTCTAGCTCGGAGAAATAGGCCACATGCAAATATATATGTAGATAATGTGTTGTAGCAGTAAGTGCTAAAAAATAGTCTCTGTTCTGCTGCTATAATATTTTCACCTGAGTGATTTATAAACAATAGGAATTTATTGATCACAGTTCTGGAGGCAGAGAAGTCTAAGATCAAGGCACCGGTAGATTCAGTGTCTGGGGAAGGTTTGATCTCTGCTTCACATGTGGCCTCTTGTTGCTGTGTCTTCATGTGGGAGAGGGAGTGGAAGGGCAAAAAAGGATGGACAGGCTCCTTCAATCCCTTTTATAAAGGCATAATCTTATTCATGGGGGCCCCACACTCATGACCTAACTACCTTGTTAAAGCCCCACCTGCTGATAACTATAGCCTTGGAGATTAAGTTTCAACATATGAATTTTGGGGGAACATGTTCAGTCCATAGTAAAAACTAAGAAGGTAAAGAGGATGAGGAGTTGGGGAGTGATAAAAATGGCTTCTGTGGGCCAAGCGCAGTGGCTCACACCAGTAATCCCAGCATTTGAAGTGTCTGAGGCGGGAGGATTGCCAGAGCTCAGGAGTTGGAGACCAGATTGGGCAACATAGTGTGACCCCTCATGGCAAAAAATCAAAAATTAACTGGCATGGTGGTCCACATCTGTGGTGCCAGCTACTCGGGAGGATCACTTAGAGGTTGCAGTGAGTTGTGATCATGCCACTGCACTCCAGCCTGGGTGACAGAGCAAGGCCCTATCCCCCACCCCCCAGAGAAAAGCTTCTGTGAAGGTGACATTTGATCAAAATTGTGAATGGAGTGAGAATGTGTCCATGTGGATATTTGAGGATAGATTATTTCAGGCAGTGGAAACCATAAAGGCAAAGCTCTGAAGCACATTCTAGGAACAGCCCAGATCCCAGTGTGTCTGAATACAGAGAAAGGGGAAAGAGAGGCAGGTCAAAGGTCACACAGGGACTTGCAGGCCAGAGATGCAGGCCATGGGGAAGCCTTTGGACTATGTTGTGAATGTTAGAACATCTGATGGAAGGTGCTGAGCAAGAGTGGCATGATTTGATATAAACTTCAAATCTTAAAAGCCCTCATAAAAGAAAAACACTGATTGCTTTGTGGGGAAAAAGCCATGGGATTGGGAACCAGTGTGGAAGCGGGAAATGGGTCAGGTGGCCAGTAGTTGAGGGGTGTTGTTGACCTCAGTCCTTACTCCAGTTTAATAACCATCCGGCTGGGTGTGGTGGCTCACGCCTGTAATCCCAGCACTTTGGGAGGCCAAGGAGGGTAGATCACCCAGGTCAGGAGGTCGAGACCATCCTGGCCAACATGGTGAAACCCCGTCTCTACTAAAAATAGAAAAAATTAGCTGGGTGTGGTGGCGCATGCCTGTAATCCCAGCTACTCAGGAGGCTGAGGCAGGAGAATTGCTTGAACCAGGGAGTCAGAGGTTACAGTGAGCTGATATCGCGTCACTGCACTCTAGTCTGCCGACAGAGCAAGATTCCATCTCAAAAAAATAAATAACCATCCAAAAACTGAACTATACGGCTTCCTTGATGGGGTTTGTTTTTCATCAACTTTTGCTGGCTCCTAGCAATTCTGCTTTTCATCTTTTTCTTTTTGTTACTACAAAATTTCCTTTTTTCTTTTTTTTGCTGGCTTTACTGAGGTATAATTGACAAATAAAAATTGTATATACTTATGATACATAGTGTGTGTGGTTTTCTGGGATTTTTGTTGTTGCTTTTTAAATTTTTTTTAAAGACAGGGTCTCACTGTCGCCCAGGCTGGAATGCAATGGCACAGTCACAGCGCCCTGCAGCCTTGATCTCCTGGGTTCAAGCCATCCTCCCACCTCAGCCTCCCAAGTAGCTGGGACTATAGGCATGCGCCACCACACCCAAATAATTTTTATATTTTTAATAGAGACTTGGCCAGGCCAGTCTCGAACTCCTGGACTCAAGTGGTTCACCTGCTTTGGCCTCCCAAAATGTTGGGATTACAGGCGTTAGTCACCGCATCCAGCCTCAGTGTGATGTTTTGATATACATGTGTGTTGTATACATATACAGTTAAGGTAATTAATGTATCTGCTTTTATTTTCTAAGTACTTGCAAGCTCCTCGCCTCATAATTCCTTCTAGAACTTTCCTTGATTGAAAATCTAGTCCCCTGAATGAGGTGGACATACCAAGACAGGATGAGGGAGGTGGAAAGGATCTGTTCCTTGTAGTGGACACACCTGGTTTGAATCTGGCTATTCTTTTTTTTATTGAGACGGAGTTTCACTCTTGTTGCCTAGGCTGGAGGACAATGGCGCGATCTCTACTCACTGCAACCTCCGCCTCCTGGGTACCAGTGATCCTTGTGAGTCAGCCTCATGGGTACCTGGGATTACAGGTGCCTGCAACCACGCCCAGCCAATTTTTTGTATTTTTAGTAGAGATGGGTTTCACCATGTGGGCCAGGCTGGTCTTAAACCCCTGACCTCAGGTGATCCACCCACCTCGGCCTCCCAAAGCGCTGGAATTATAGGCGTGAGCCACCACGCCTGGCCGAATCTGGTTCTTCTTTAGCTCAGGCAGAGTAATCGTATTACCTTTTTTTTGTTGTTGTCATAAAATAAGATAATGCTTCTCTAAGAAATAAGTAGGCTGTGCACAGTGGCTCACGCCTGTAATCCCAGCACTTTGGGAGGCCAAGGAGGGCAGATCACGAGGTCAAGATATCAAGACCATCCTGGCCAACATGATGAAACCCCGTCTCTACTAAAAATACAAAAATTAGCTGGGCGTGGTGGCACGTGCCTGTAATCCCAGCTACTCAGAAGGCTGAGGCAGGAGAATTCCTGGAACCAGGGCATCGGAGGTTGCAGTGAGCCGAGATGGCGCCATTGCACTCCAGCCTGGTGACAGAGCGAGACTCCACCTTAAAAAAAAAAAAGAAAGAAAGAATTATAGTGGAGACTATTAAAGAGCTTGAGTGTATCCATGTTGTTGGGTCTACATGTAAAAACAATATATATATATATATGTATATATATATATATGTGTATATATATATATGTATATATATATGTGTATATATATATATGTATATATATATGTGTATATATATATATGTATATATATATATATATATATAAATAAGGAACTTAACTATACATAATTTTCTGCAGTATGAAGGCTGAACAGATCTTAATTTTTTCTACACATTTTTGTTTTTACTTTAGCATGCATTTGACTGAGTCGTGAAGTTTTTAAGGGTGTGAGATATGCTTTTTTATGTTTTAATCCCCAATTCAGTGCCTGAATGCTGACGGGTGCTACACAGACAGTGAATCAGTGGGTCTGTGCAAACGAGGGCCAGTGAGAAACACCCTAGTGTCCTAACTGAAGGAAGAGGCCATTTCCAGTGACAGCACACTCATCAGTTCACCTGGAGTACCGGAGGCACGTTTTCAGGTTGACTAGGGAACCAATGAGGCTTCTGACAAGCAGGGGACTTGGGTGCAGGGCCAGCAGGAGCCCAGGCCTCCTTTCTAGCAAGCTGTGCTGTTCTGCCGGGCTTCTCCTGCTATGGGTTATTGAGTTCTGTTTCCTGAGAGGCATAAGGGGAAAGTGTAGACCCAACTCCTCAGATTGTCTTAAATAATTTGAGTAACTAATAGGCATTAAGTAATTTGAGCAAATATTGTTCTCCAGAGGTTGAGAATCCTTTATTGTCCCTTTCCTCCCAGGACCACTCAGTATAATGTTGGAAGAGAGCCTTCTGTCCTTATCCAGGTGCAGGGAATGAACCAGATGATTCAATTCCTACATACCTTTTTTTTTTTTTTTTTAAACAGAGTCTCACTCTGTCACCCAGGCTGGAATGCAGTGGCATGATCTCAGCTCACTGAAACCTCCACCTCCCAGGTTCAAGAGATTCTCCTGCCTCAGCCTCCCAAGTAGCTGGGGTTACAGGTGCCTGCCGCCACACCTAGCTAATTTTTGTATTTTTAATAGAGACGAGGTTTCGCCATGTTGGCCAGACTAGTCTTGAATGCCTAACCTCGAGCAATCCGCCCGCCTTGGCCTCCCGAAGTGCTGGAATTACAGGCGTGAGCCACCACACCCAGCCACGCCCTTTCTTAGACTAGACCCTGAAAAAGGATCCCTTTTCATCACTCCCACTGCTCTTAAGGATTCTCCCTGCTGTGGTCTAAATGTTCGTGTCCCCAGAATTCAAATGTTGAAATCCTAACGCCAAAGGTGATGGTTTTAGGAGGGGGTGCCTTAGGGAGGTGATGAGCTCATGAGGGTGGAGCCCTCATGAATGGGATTAGTGCCCTTAGAAAAGAAGCCCCAGAGAGCTTCCTCATCCTTTCCACCAGGAGAGGATGCAGAGAGAAGGTGTCATTCTTTCCACTGAGGACAGTCGAGTGCAAAGAGCCAGAACGATCTGGGTTAACATCCCAATTCTATCACTTATTTCACTGTGTGTCCTTCAGCAAGTTACTGAATTGATTGTATTTTCTGTTTATTTAACAAATATTTATACAAAGAGCTTACCATTGCCAAGCATTATTCTAAGTCCTTCACAGATGATAATTCATTTAATGCTTGCAATAACTGCAAAAAATAGAAACTCTCAGTATCCAAGTTTTATGGCGGGAGCAGTGGGGAGACTGTGAAGTCACTTGTGCAACGTCCCACAGCTAGGAAAAAAGTAAGCAGGACTGCAACCTACGTATTTAGTACTAGAGGTGTTTAGTACCCGAGTGAGTTCACTTAATCCGCTCTGCTATGCTACTCTAGATTTCCGTAATTTGTAAGTAATTTGTAAAATAACAGCTTGACAAAGATTGCTGTGAGAATTCAGCCAATGCTAGCTAGCTTCCTTCTCCCCTTCCATTTCATAGAGAGGGTAAAGTAACACACTGGTTTGAGTATTAGTGAAAGATGATGGCATTTAGAATTGTAAATTGAGGGAACAAAGTAATCAATGATATCATGAGAAGCAAAAAAGACTTTTTTGGACTTTTGCAGTTGTACTAAGTTTCTATGGTTTTACCATTTGTTTTCTGGAAAGATTAAAAACCATTTTGTTGAACTGGTAATTCCAAGCTTTTAATTTTGTTTTCACCAAGTGTTTGTTGCTCATTTATTACACACATTGAATTTGCCCCAGTTTTTCCCTACCACAAGTATCTAATACAGTGAGATAGGTGTTTTGCTTCTGCCCATGGTTTTTTGGGTAATACCTGACATGCTAACATTATTCTGTTATTTTTTCAGTTCATTATTAAAGTTGTTTGGGGGAATTTGAACACATCTGATTCCTCTCAGGAACGAGAGGGGAAATTGTCTAGCAGCTGGCACCCTGAGAACTGGTACAAATTACTATGTCCGATAGTTTATCTTGAACTACGGTGTTTATAACTACCAACAGAGCATCAATTTAACAAAAATTGCAGTACTTAGTATTAAAAGAGGCTTGCACTTTAAAGAAGAATGTGGAGAATTTTCTTTTCCATTACACACGTACTGGCCATATTTTGGCAACAGAGTTTCCAGTGTCATTGGCTCTGAATTGAAAAACATGAGTGAGTATCCTTTCCTATGTACAGGAGATTTCCGAGGTACGTAATGTGATTGTTATTCATTATTCAGGTTACTTCTAGAGCTCTCTAAGCAAGATGTGCATGGGGAAATAAATATGAACGAGAGAGACCGTCTGTGTCCTTCTGATGCTTCATTCTGAAGACGGAAGGCCAGATGTAACAAGCACAGTGAATACAGTGCTCTGGGATGTCAAAAAGAGAAGGGATAATTTATGACCGGGGCACCAGGAAGCCCTGTAGAAGTGGTGGGATTGGGCCAGGTGTGATGGCTCACGCCTGTAATCCCAGCACTTTGGGAGACCAAGGCAGGCAGATCACATGACGTCAGAAGTTTGAGACCAGCCTGGTCAACATGGTGAAACCCTGTCTCTACCAAAAATACAAAAATTAGCTGGGCGTGGTGGCACATGCCTGTAATTCCAGCTACTCAGGAGGCTGAGGCAGGAGAATCGCTTGAACCCAGGAGGAGGAGGTTTCAGTGAGCCAAGATCACACCATTACACTCCAGCCTGGGTGACCAGAGTGAAGCTCCATCTCATAAAAAGAAGTGGTGGGATTGTAGCTGAGCCTTGGAGAATAAATAAGACTTGGAGAAGTTGTGATGCCTGAGGAAGACTTTCCATGATGAAATAAAGAAACAGCCACAGCCAGAGCTCAGATGAGAGGAAATTTAAGGACCAGGGGTCCTTTTGGATGAAGCATGAAGCACAGAAGAATGGAGGGAAGGAAAGGGATGGCAGTCTGCATGAGAAAGGACCTGAAATGGTATTTTCTGTGTGATTGACTATTTTCTTTCATTGAGTGAAGGTTTTGAACCAGGAAATGAAATCATCAGAGCAGAATTTTAAGCAAACTAATCTGGCTTGAAACTAAATTAGGCTGGAGTAAATGTTCAAGAGTGTGAAAGTGAGGTCATCTGTTGCAATACTTGGGCAGTAAGTAGCAGGGGCCTGACATGTTAAGGTGACTATAAGACTAGAAACAAGATCTCTGCAAGGAAAAGAATCAATGAGGCTGGACAAATAACTGGAGACAAGAGAGGAGATGGGTGATAAAGGGAGTGCTTTCTAATGTGTATTGGTAGATGTTTCCAGTGACACTACTTAGTATCACAGATGTTACTGAGACTTTGCTCAAGTCAACTTGTAATTGCATGCACTGATTTTCTCTGTAAGACTTCTCAGAGCCTATAATATGCTAACATGCGCTGTGACACTCCAAGAAGAAGATGGTGTTGTCTAATTTCCCATACTTATTTGTCCACAGAAACTCTTTTTTAAAAATAAGCTAGGCACAGTGGCTCATGCCTGTAATCCTAGCAGTTTGGAAGGCCGAGGCAGGAGGATCGCTGGAGCCCAGAAGTTTGAGACCATTTTGGGCAATACAGTGAGACCCTGTCTCTAAAAAAATAAAAAATTAGGTGTGATGGTGTGCACCTGTGGTCCTAGCTACTTGGGAAGCTGAGGTAGGAGGATTGGATGAGCACAGAAGGTTGAGGCTGCAGTGAGGCTGTGATTATGCCGTTGTACTCCACCCTGGGTGACAGAGCAAGGCTCTGTCTCAAAAAAAAAAAATAAATAAATAAAAAGTTGATAGGTAAATGTGGAAAGGATCTAGGATTTTCTGGAACACTATTTTGAGACATGGTGTACTACATTTGGAGGATGATGGTGTGATTTATAAAAACTGGGAAGTTGACATTAGAATATGGTTTCCACTAAAGATAAGTTGACATCACCTTATCTTGTTGTTAAAATGTGTTAAATTTGAGGCACCATAGACCGTGTATTTGGAAGCATGGAGAAAGTTGCATGTTTTGTGGAAGTAGAGCTAAGATGAGAGATTTGGATAGCAAGATTAATCTGGGGTTATCACCTAGGGGTGATCATTGAATTCATAAAGGTGAAATAGTAGGGAAAGGAGAATTTGAGTGGAGCGAATGACAGAATGTTGGGAAAGATCTGTAAGAGACAGAAGAACTGGCAAAGGCTAAGAAACAGTGGTCAGGGAGAAGGAGAATTCGGATCTTGCATTTTCAGCAAACTAGAATAGGACTTTGCAGAGTCAGGGAGTGTTCAGCAACGTCAAATGCTGCAGAGAGAGGAGTGGGGGAGCTTTAAAGTTTGGAAAATAAGACATGATCACTGGCTTTGGAAAGAATTGTTTTATTAGAACATGGTAGGTGTGGAAGCCCAATTTAAGAAATCTTGGAGTGACTTTGAAAAAAAAAAAGGCATGAACAGAAAGTACATCACATCCCTGGTTAGAGCATTGTTAATGATATAAAATAAAGATTTAATGAAAGTTTAGAGGAAGAACAAGATTCAGATTTCTTTTTAAAAAAATCTTTACATTTTGCTCAACACAGGGAAATTCTTTGCCTCCAAACCCGAGAGCTATTTTTGTTTTCTTTTAAGGGCATGGGCAAAATGAACAGGATTAAGTAGAAGAAAAGAAGCAGAAAAGAAGGGATAATGGAGAGGGAAAGACACTTTCTTTTTGTTTTTTAATAGAGATAGGGTCTTGCTCTGTTGCCCAGGCTGGAGCGTAGTGGTACAGTCACAGCTCACTGTAGCCTCAAACTCTTGGGCTTAAGCAGTCCTCCCACTTCAGCCTCCCAAAGTACTGGGATTATAGGGGTGAGCCACTGTACCTGGACCTACTACTAAAATCCCTGGAATGGTAGTTCTTAAATGTTAGCTTGGGCCGGGCATGGTGGCTCACACCTGTAATCCCAGCACTTTGGGAGGCCAAGGTGGGCAGATCACCTGAGACCAGCCTGGCCAACATGGTGAAACACCATCTCTACTAAAAACACAAAAATTAGCAGGGCATGATGGTGGGTGCCTATAATATTATCCAGCTACTCAGGAGCTCTGAGGCAGGAGAATCACCTGAACCTGGGAGGCGGAGGTTGCGGTGAGCTGAGATTGTGTCATTGCACTCTAGCCTAGGCGACAAGAGCAAAACTCTCTCTCATTTAAAAAAAAAAAAAAAAAAAAAAGAAAAGAAAAGAAAGAAAGGAAAGAAAAAAAAGTTAGACTACAGAATTCCCTGCAGGACTTGTTTAAATACAGGCTTCCTGGCCTCAGCCCCAGAGTCTCTGTTCATCAGAAACTGGGTACAGCCTAAGAACCGGCCTTTCTAACAAGTTCCCAGGTGATGCTGATGCAGTTGACCTGGGGATGACAATTTGACAACCTCCACCCCAGAGAAGGGAAAAATGTAGAATCTAGGTTGCAGGTCAAGGTGTGCCCTGGGAGAGAGAAAAGGCACATCTTTGTCAGGAAGTTACCAGGAATGAAAGAAGAAAGGGTGAATAAAAATACATAACAATTTGAAGTGCAGTTAGAAGAGAGATGACAGTCACTGGAATTGGAGAATTATGTCCTAGAGTCTAGAAAGTTGTCACTGTAGATTGTGAAGTTGTGACAGTGAAGATGGACAGGTAGAGATGATACTGTGAGCCCAGTGCTGAAACCATCTAGGAAGGTGTCTGTAAGTGAACAAATGGACCTTATGAAGATAGGTCATGTCCTATGGTCTGGTAATGGTGTTGGGGCAGCAGAGCCCCTACCAAATTCCTTATGCTAAAACGAGAACGTGCCCAGGTGCGGTGGCTCACGCCTGTAATCCCAGCACTTTGGGGGGCTGAGGCGGGTGGATCACGAGGTGAGGAGATCAAGACCGTCCTGGCTAACACGGTGAAACCCCGTCTCTACTAAAAATACAAAAAAATTAGCCGGGCGTGGTGGCGGGCGCCTGTAGTCCCAGCTACTCGGGAGGCTGAGGCAGGAGAATGGTGTGAACCTGGGAGGCAGAGCTTGCAGTGAGCCGAGATCGCGCCACTGCACTCCAGCCTGGGCGACAGAGCGAGACTCCATAAAATAAAAAATAAAAAATAAAACACACAACAACAAAAAACAGAGAACTCCAGTTCTACCTCTCCTGCAACAAGTCGGGAGGAACTTGCTGTGATGAAGCTGAATTTCTCTTTAAGCCAAGACAGAGTCAGAGGGGGTTTGCTAAGAACCGTAGATACTTACATCGTGCTCTGCAAAAACTCCCTTTTTCTGTCCTCACAAGGACCCTATGGGATTCCTGCTATTATCTCCATTTTACAGTTAAAGAAATAAACTAACTTGCTAAGTTCACAACTACTGAATGAGGAAGCCAGGAACGGAGTCCGAGCAGTCTATGGGAACTTGACAGAATCTCTCTCTGACTGTTGGCACGTGGGACTTCCCACTTCCCTTAACCATGTTAAAGGAACCCGGAGCATATCCCAGGGGCTGCACTGCATGCCATAGGGTTGTTCCCAGAGTGGCACTGTATGATTGAGGATGCAGGCCAGTTACAGCAGAGAAGGGGCCTCAGAAAGGTCACACACCAGGACCAGTGTTGAGAACAAGAGGTAGGATGATGCAGGCTGGCTCAGGGCCCATGAAGGGCTGGAGCCCATTCTCACCAGCGTGGAAGACCCGGGGCTGGCGGCATGAGGCAGAAAGAAAGCACTTCATCAGGCTCAATGGCAACAAATCTCTTCAGTGGAAAAGTTCTGCTGTTTCCTCTGTATATCCCTTGGGTCTGTATCATTCTCAAAATGAGAAGTCTGTAAAGCCCAAAACTATCCGGTTAATGTGCAGTTCCAACCAGCTTAAAGAATAAACGGTAGGTAAAATGCCTGTGTGTTGTATTTCTCTTTATGTCTGCCTTTTAAAAACTGAAAGTGCATGTTTACTAAATCACAGGGTTTGAGTTGAGGAAAACACTACCGTTGTATGCCTACAGGCATGCATTAAGTAGGGCTAAAAGCATCCTTTAGCAAAAGTAGTTTCCTCTTTTCCTTGCTAAATATCTTGTATGCATTGTACCTGATCACCTAAAAGCCAGTGCTTTTAGTAATTATTGAAGAATAAGAAGGGCCTGTGGTGAATAATGTCGAAACAGTGTGATGGGGGAGCTCACACGTGGTTGCAGTTGAAGGCAGAGAAGATGTGGGCCGTAAGGAATCCCCCAGGACTGGGTGTTCCTTCTCACTGCTTCTTCAGAAAAGCATTGTCAGAGTACGGGAGAGGGAGCAAAATAGTGTAAAAATGACCCTCGCCAGCTCCAGCTGCTTTTTTTTCTTTTTTTTTTTTTTTTTGAGGAGTCTAACTCTGTCACTCAGGCTGGAGTATGGTGGTGCCATCTCGGCTCACTGCAGTCGCCGCCCCCTGGGTTCAAGCAATTCTCCCCTCTCAGTCTCCTGAGTAGCTGGGATTACAGGTGTGCACCACCATGACTGGCTAATTTTTGTTGCTGTTGTTGTCATATTTTTAGTAGAGACGGGTTTCACCATGTTGGCCAGGCTGGTCTCTAACTCCTGACCTCAGGTGATCCACCCGCCTTGGCCTCCCAAAGTGTTGGGATTACAGGCATGAGCCACCACGCCCAGCCCCGTTTGCTTTTTTTATGAAAAGAATCACTACCAATATTTTAACATGTTACTTGGGACATATTTCAGCAGCTAGGATAACACATAATAGGGGAATCACTGGGAAATTTTATCATCTTACCTATACATGCGATAAAAATCTATTAAAGTCAGCTCTATATCTTGGAGCAGACCTTGGGGGAAAATTAGTGCAGAGCTGGGATTTGAAGGATGGTGGGAATTGGACACATTTGAGCATTTCCTCAGTGGTTCTTGCATTTCTCCTTATTTATCAGCCTCCTGATGTGAGAAAAGTAACTACTTAATGAAGAGATCCAAAATAAAGAAGCAGCCATCTGGGTAGTTTAATCTTATAAATACCCAGCTGCAATTTTAAGAAGAGATTTAGAAGCATAGTGGTGTGTCTCGGGTTCCTGGACCAGGTAGACCCACAAGCTGTCACCTCCCACCTGGCCCCTGCTCTGTTTCAGATTTTGTTCATTGCAGTCATGGATAGAGAGTTTCTGTCATGAAGACACATCACATCTGCCACATCAGTTTAGCACTGTTCTAAACTAGGTTGCGACAGAATTTGTTCAATGTGAAGTTTTTCTGATTTGGTGTATATTAGGAAACTCAATGTCTTTAGGGCTGTGTTTTTCCGATAAACACATTTTTCCCCTGCAGAGGATGTTTGACCATTTTCTTTGTTACTCCTCTCCCAGAAGAGAGGAAACTTCTCACCTGCAAGGACTTTTTGCTCCGCAGTTCCCTTCACACTCACATATTCTCCTGTGTCACAGCTCTGGGGTATGTCTTATGCTCACCCATCACGTAGTTCGTTATCACCACTACAGATATTGACAAGCTAGTGAAACCTGCGTTTTCATTGCATTTAACTTTGAAGGCACACATCTTTGAACAGAATGCTAGGTGCTAATGTCATAGCTTACATCTAGATAGGGCTCTATTTATGATGCTGTTATGTTGTCTTCATAATCTATTGTGGTATTCAGTTTAGCTCATAACAGCTGTATAAATTCAGGTTGCCAAGGGTAAAAGAGGTGACCCAACCTCCCATCTGGCTGTATTCCCCTTGCACACTCATATACCTGTCTCTTCTCAATGCCCTAATTCTATCTCCTATAAAAAGTTTGCATCTTCATGAATTATTCCTATCTTAGTAAATTAATAAATGGCCTTTCAGAACAAGTCATAATAAAAATACAGCTGGGCATAGCGATGCACACCTTTAATCCCAACACTTTGGGAGACTGAGCAGGAGGATTGCTTGATGACAGATGCTCGAGACCAGCTTGGGCAACAAAGTGAGACCCTGTCTTTACCAAATAGAAAAAAAATTGAATGGGCCCACGTGGTGGGGCATGACTATAGTCCTAGCTACTTAGGAGGCTGAAGCAGGAGGATTGCTTAAGCCCAGGAGGCTGAGGCTGCAGTAAGTCATGATGGTACCACTGCACTCCAGTCTGAGTGGCAGAGAAACACTGTGTCTCAAATAATAATAAGTAGAACCATAGCACATTTAAAAAAAAATTATCTAGCTAATATCACATCAAAAGACTATCTTCAATTAATCTTTGCAAAAATAAAGGTTATCAAGGTTGACCTTTTTTAATTTAATATTTTAAAGTCAGGGTCTTGCTCTGTTAGCCAGGCTGGAGTGCAGTAGCACAATCATAGCTCCCCTGTCACCTCAAACTCCTGTGCTCAAGCCATCCTCCCACCTTGGCCTCCTGAGGAGCCAGGACTACAGGTGCACACCAACACACCGGGCAAGGTTAGCCTTATAGACAGAAGTTCTCTACCTAGGATGATTTCTATATTTTTGTTCACCAAAAAAGGTTCTCTGGCCTACCAGCAGCACCCTGGCTGCTTTTGCTGACTCTAGTCATTCCTTAATGAGTATACCTGGTAGATTCTTACTGGACTATACCTTAGTGCAGAAGGATATTAGAATATCCCACGCTTGATAGCAGACCTGGTTGAAGAGGCCAACACAAACCAGAGTCAGGGATAAAACCAAGATAAAAATCTCATCTCCGCTGACATCATAGCATCCATGCAGTTGCTCAAGCCGAAAGCATCCTCGATTCCTCTCTGTTTCTCTCCCCTGCTCAGATGATCTGTACTGATCCACTTTTCTCCATCTCTGCTGCTACCTCATTAGTCCAAGCCATGTTTTGTCTCCCTGGAACTATTAATATTAGAACAGCCTTTTGACCTGTCTCCTCCTCTCTCTCTTGCTTTTCCTGATTTTCTCTCCCCACGACAGCTGGAGGGATTTTCTTAACACTTAAATTGGATCCTGTCTCTGTCCTACCTAAAAACCTATTGTGACTGTCTATTACTCTTAGACAAATCAAACTCCTTCTCATGGTTTAAAAGGCAGTGCGTAAACTAGCTCGTGTCAGCCTGACTTTCCAGTGTCCTTCCTGCCAGTCCCACCTCATTGCCTAGCAGGTACTCTTGTCTCCCTCCATCGCCTCCACAGGCCTGCTCCCTTGAGCTCTTTCTGTCCCTCCATGAGGCTTGGAATCTCTCCCCTCCTACCTACTCACTGTCATCTATGTCCCAACTCATTGTCTCCTCCTCAGAGACTTCTTGAGCACTGCCGCTCGTATCACCCTGTTTATTTCCTCCACAGAACATTAATGAAAGAGTTCATAGATTGTCTCGTACACATACTTACCAATTTCTTGCCTTATTTTATTTTGAGACGGAGTCTCGCTCTGTTGCCCAGGCTGGAGTGCAGTGGCGCGATCTCGGCTGGCTGCAACCTCTGCCTCCCAGGTTCAAATGATTCTTGTGCCTCAGCCTCCCAAGTAGCTGGGGTCACAGGCGTGCACCACCATGCCTGGCTAATTTTTTGTATTTTTAGTAGAGACCAGGTTTCACCCTGTTGGCCAGACTCCTGTTTGTCAAACTTCTGACCTCAGGTCATTTGCCTGCCTGAGCCTCACAAGGTGCTGGGATTACAGGTGTGAGCCACCATGACCAGCTGATTACTTGTCTGTTTTTAAACAAGTAGCATGGAGGTGCCTGGAGGCCTGCGTTTGTGTTTCACTTGTTTCTGATTGTACTCCCAGGAACAAGCCCAGCGCCTTTCCCACAATAGGTATTGTATAAATAATGAATGAATGAAGACAGTCTCTATTCTCTTGAAATGTAAACAGGACAGTGAGGGGTAAAATAAAATGGACAGTTATCATGTAGAGTGATGGGTGCTTTGATGGGAGAAGGGTTCTGTCCCTTAGGAACATTCAGGGGAAGTAGTACCAAATACTCAGGAATTAGAGAAAGGGTCCAACAGAAAATGATATCTACAGATTTCAAGGATCCCTAATAAGTACCTATATTGTGTTACTGTATTAACATTAATGTTTCATTTAAAACCAGCGTTTTTCAACCTTTGTCATTAATCGCCCCCTTAAGGGGCCTTTTCTAGGCAGTTTTTTTCCTAATCACCATCCCTCCCTCCATAAAATTTCATACCACAGACATGTCTATACCACCGTGTATTTTTCTAGGTACTGTATGTGTATCTCTACTTTATACTCAAAATGAGTAAGATTGTTTTTTTACCCCCTAAGAACAAACGTTTGCCCCCTTGGGGATGAGATTGCCCCTGTTGGGAATGCATATATTAAAGCATTTAATATCAATCATAGGACCAAGTTTTAAAGAAAATGCAGTTGGTACGTCTGCACAGTACTTGCACTTTAAATGTCAATGGACTGTGTAGTATTTCAAAAGCACACACATGCACAATTTTCTTTCCAATGGAGGAGACAGATGATACTGGTTTTTTCAAAAGTGTGATATCGATGGATACTGTGGCTCACGCCTGCAATCTCAGTATTTTGGGAGGCCAAGGCAGGAGAATTGCTTGAGGCCAGGAGTTCAAGGCCTGCCTGGGCAACATAGAAAGACTGCCCCCCGCTACAAAAAAATTAAAAAATTAGCCAGACGTGATAGCAGGCACCTGTGGTCCCAGCTGCTGTGGAGGCCAAGGTGGGAGGATCACTGGAGTGCAGGAGTTCAAGGCTGCAGTGAGCTATGACTGTGCCACTGCAGCCTTGGGTGACAGAGTGAGACCCAATCTCTTAAAAAAAAAAAAAAAAGTGGTATTCGTACTCATTGACGTGAAAAGTCAACACCAAAGTCATAATGAGAGTTCACATAATAATATCCACCAATATGTGCCTCTGGAAAAAGCATTAAAAGGTGCATCAGAGGAACTTATATTTTTAGGAAAAAGTGTGACAGACAAATGCACAGCAGTCATTGCACAGTTTGGAAAGGAACATGTGGGGGCTGGTTGACTCCAAGAGTGCTTGGTGATAGGTTGGGTTGGTGACTTAGTAAGAAAGTGTTGCCTAAGACTTTGATTTAGAAACGGCACTTAAGTTATTAGGTAGATGAGTGCTGATAGAGTTACTTGGAAGAACTGAGGTAGGAGAGCTGTGTTTGAAGATTCCTGGAGATAAGAAAACATTTTCAGAGAAAGAGTGAGTAATCTGGTTTACATTCTGCTATTGCTGTTGTTGGAGGTTAATTCTGTTGGGAACACCTGTGTTCACACAGGTAAATACCAACTGGCTCTTCCTTAGGGGATAAATAGTGTATAAAGTTGGTGTAGAAAATGCTGGTGAAGGAGTTTTTAGTAATGGAACTTAGCCCAAGGGCAAATTGTATATCACTCAACACTTTTCACTTGCTTATCTTTCAGGAATTTTAAGAAGGTTAAGGCACTAAGGTTCCTTAAGTGTTTTAACTCTGCAGGCCCCATCTGTGTTCCAGCTGCTGTTCTGCAACTGCAAATGGATTCTGCTTTAGTATGATAATAAGAAGGTCATAACCCAGCAAAAGTGGTGGGCTTCTAACTCTATCCTTTTAGCAGAATTTCTTTTCATTAGCTGAGTAGAATTGAGCTTCACTGGTTGGCAGTGAAATGAGGCATGGCCTAGCTTGATGGTCCATGAAGGATGCTCACTGAGGGTGACATTTTGTTCCATTAAAGCTGATGTTTCTATTTATACCAAGGATAGTTTGTGCAGTTACACCGGAAATAAGATATTTCCTGCGTTTACAGACATCTACATGCTTGCCTTTTTTTCCATTTCCCACTGAACCAGTCTCGTTGTTGTCAATTATTCTTCTTCCTCTATTTAATGGAATCTTTACTTTCTTGACAGATGAATGTACATGACCACTTTCATAATGCCTCTCCCTTAAGAAACTTCCTACTGATCTTGGCCAGGCACGGTGGCTCACACCTGTGATCCCAGCACTTTGGGAGGCTGAGGCGGGCTTATCATTTCAGGCCAGGAGTTCGAGAACGGCCTGACCAAAACCCCGCCTCTACTGAAAATAGGAAAATTAGCCAGGTGTGGTGGTACACACCTGTAATCCCAGCTACTTGGGAGGCTGAGGCAGGAGGATCACTTGAACCTGGGAGGCGAAGGGTGCAGTGAGCCAAGATCACACCCACTACACTCCAGCCTGGATGACAGAGCAAGACTCCATCTCAAGAAAATAAAATAAACAACCAGTTCTCATGAGAATCCTATCACGAGAACAGCGCCAAGATATAGTGCTAAACCATTCATAGGCCACCCTTATGAGCCAATCACCTCCCACCAGGCCCCACCTCCAACACTGAGGATTACAATTTGACATGAGATTTGGGTGGGGTCACAGATCCAAACTGTATCACTTTCCATTCCTCCAGGCCTAGCAACCACTATTCTACTTTCTGCGTCTATGATGTTGACCATTCTAACTACCTGGTATGAGTGGAATCATATATTTGTCCTTTTGTGACTGGCTAATTTTACTTAGGATAATGTCCTCAGAGTTCACCCATGTTATAGCATTTATCAGAATTTCTTTCCTTTTTAAGGCAGAATAATATTCCACCGTATGCATATACCACAATTGGGTTTATTTGATTCATCTATTGGTGGACATTCGGGTTGCTTCCACCTTTTGGCTACTGTAAATAATGCAGCCTTCCTCCTGTTCCCTTTCTCCCCTTAAGGGCCCTTCAGACCTCTGCCTTCTACCACTGGGCATAGTCTACACACAGATCATGACTTTTGGCTACTGTCAGTAATGATGCTATGAGCATGGGTGCACAAATACACCTCCAAGAACTTTGGGTGTGGGTGTATGTTTAGACAGAGTTTCACTCTGTGTCCAAGCTGCAGTGCAGTGTGCAGTCATGGTTCACTGCAGGCTCAACCTCCTGGGGCTGCGTGATCCTCCTGCCTCAGCTTCCTGGGTAACCAGGACTACAGACATGCGCCACCACAACCAACTAATTTTTCATTTTCTATAGAGACGGGACCTCTGTATGTTGCCTAGGCTGATTTTGAACTACTGGGCTCACAGTATCCTCCTGCCTTAGCCTCCCAAAGTGCTGGAATTACAGGCATGAGCCACCACACTTGGCCCTCCAAGAACTTTTGAAATAAACTCTATTAATTATATTCAGAAAACTTAATGCTATCACCTTAGACTGTATAGCATAAATTAAGTTCCTCCCACATAGCAATGCCTCCTTTTAAGATGCTGCTGGGTAATAGTCCTTAGTTTAAATATGTCCCAGCTCTCCTTAGCACAGCAGCAGTCTTTTACATTAACTTTTTAGAGTAAAAGAAAAATTAGGAGAGGGCCGGTCGCGGTGGCTCATGCCTGTAATCCAAGCACTTTGGGAGGCTGAGGTGGGCGGATCACCTGAGGTCAGGAGTTCAAGACCAGCCTGACCAACATGGAGAAACCCCGTCTCTACTGAAAATACAAAATTAGTTGGGCATGGTGGCACATGCCTGAAATCCCAGCTACGTGGGAGGCTGAGGCAGGAGAATCACTTGAACCCGGGAGGCGGAGGTTGTGGTGAGCCAAGATTGCACCATTGTACTCCAGCCTGGGTGACAAGAGCAAAACTCCATCTCAAAAAAGGAAAAAAAAAAGGAGAAAATGTTTGGAGAAGTACTAAATATAAAAATCAACTTATTTTTAGTAGAATGTATTTGTTCTCAACACAGCTAATTGTTTTAGATAATTACCAGCCTTGGACTACAGACACATTTCACTAAGCCAGAAAATTATTTTTGAAATATTTTGATGATGCAGAGAAATCATTTAACCAATTCTGCTATCTCATTGTCTTTTATGAAACACTCCCTTTAAAAATATACAAGTATTTTAGACTATGCAAACATTTACGCTTGTTTGAAACTAAGTAATAAAATCTATTAAGGTTTTCTGTTGCAAATGAATTCATATCTTCCTGTGGAGTCATAATTTAAGATAAAAATAGTGAGATTCAAGTTCAAAAACAAATTTGGCAAATCAAGTATTGTAAAAGTCTAGGAAATGTGAAAATTTTATTCTAGTTGACTTTCATGTTTTACTATTAATTTGCATGTGGTGAATTCCTACTTGCATTGATTCTAAAAGGTTGTATAAACTGTATGAGGATGGGAATTGTGTCTGTTTCATTTACTGTATGCTCAGTACATACTAGTACTCAACACATACTAGTCTCAATACATGCTGGGTACATACAAATGAATAATTACAACAGTATCATTTAGAAACTCTTCCATAGTCTTTCTTCATGCCTTAACATGGAATTAATAAACAAAATTTTAAGAAATGTCCTACATATAAGACAAAAAGGTCCCAAAGGATATAAATAATAGTCCTAATAAAATCAAGATTTTTTTTCACTTGTTATTAGCATCCTAACTGCAATGGCCAACTAATTCAAAGGCCTATGCATACTATTATACTATTAACAGTAGGAAAAAAGTAAGGTGAACTTTTTTTTTTTTTTTTTTTTGAGACAGAGTCTCACTCTGTTGCCTAGGCTGGAGGGCAATGGCGTGATCTTGGCTCACTGCAACCTCCGCCTCCCAGGTTCAAGCAATTCTCCTGCCTCAGCCTCCCAGGTAGCTAGGATTACAAGCACCCGCCATCATGCCCAGCTAATTTTTGCATTTTTGTAGAGATGGGTTTTCACCATGTTGGCCAGGCTGGTCTTGAACTCCTCACCTCAGGTCATCTCCCCGCCTCGGCCTCCCAAAGTGCTGGGATTACAGGCGCGAGCCACTGCACCTGGCCCAAGATGAACTTTCACAAACATTTTTTAAAAAGACTTCTGCTCCTGTTGATAGCTCAACATTGAAGATACTATGAATTTTTAGTTAAAAATTTTAAAAACATACAGTTTTGGCTTCTGTCAAAAGAATATTGCTGCCTCATTGTCACAGCTATAGCCAAGAACATTAAAATCTCATGTCCTAATGACACTAGAAACATTAGACCAATTGTCATTTGCCCCTCCCAGCTATCATTTTTCTGTTTCTTCTGCAGAAATATCACTATCCTTTGGAACAATTTTGAAGGAAGGAGGTGGCTGAGATTATCCCATGGGACTTGTGGTTTTCTGGACTGAGACCATTCTTTCAGAGTTTCATGGGGCTGACCGCCACCACACCACAAATCACCTCAATGCTGGGAATACCTGAATCATCCAGGCTTTACACAGCCATACAGTGGTGCTGCCAGTTAGGAGCTAAGAATTTCTCACCTGGCTGTGGTGCTCTATGGCATGACCAATGCTTGGGTGAAATTCACCAAAAACAGCAAATAGTTATTTCTCCCTTTTTTATTATTATGTATCATATTATTGCTAACTAAAAAGATCCATAATGTTCTAGATATGTTATGTAGTTATTTGGGCAGTTCTTACTCTCCAGCTGTTTGTAAAAGTAGAATGCTGGCCGGGCGCAGTGGCTCACGCCTGTAATCCCAGCACTTTGGAAGGCCGTGATGGGTGGATCACCTGAGGTCAGGAGTTCAAGACCAACCTGGCCAACATTCTGTCTCTACAGAAATACAAAAATTACCTGGGAATGACGATGGGTGCCTGTAATCTCAGCTACTCGGGAGGCTGAGGTGAAAGAATTACTTGAACCCAGGAGGCCGAGGTTGCAGTGAGCCGAGATCGCACCACTGCACTCCAGCCTGGGCAACAGAGCGAGACTCCATCTCAAAAGAAAAGGAAAAAAAGTCGAATACTAACATATTTGGGTTTCATTTAAGAAAATCATATCTTACATTATTATTTATGTATGTATATGTCCATACATATATACACACGTACACACATATTCTCAAATGGCAAGTGGGATCATGGACATCTATAATCATGCATAAAAGAAAGGCCTGGGAGAGATTAGGAGTGTTGTTTTAATTCATGTTTTACCTCTTTGTTTGTGGCTGTCAGTAGATTAACATAAAGCATGTTGGAAAGAACCAGGGATTATCTTCTAGCCCAATGTATTCAACTTCTGTTTGCACATTTACATTCTTTCTCTGAATGATGAGCTCTCGGAGGTTTAGTAGGGATAAGTTCCAAGGGAAGCCTTTCTCAAATTCATCACTTACAACATTTATACACACAGCTCTGATAGTTAAGTAGGACTGACTTTTTCTAATATGTGTAGGGATATTTCAAAATTATTTCTATTTTTTCCTGTGGGAGTTCTGATGTATACAAGCCTAGAGATTGAGTTTAGTGATGGTGCCAGGGAAGATTTTCTTTTCGGCAGGTTAAAAAGTCTTTGAAACCCTCCCATTTAAAAAAATAAATAAAGGATTCTGGTTGGGCATGCTGGCTCACACCTGTAATCCCAACACCTTGGGAGGTCAAGGCGGGAAGATCACTTGAGCCCAGGAGTTCGAGAGCAGCCTGGACAATGTAGTGAAACCCCATCTCTACAAAAAATACAAAAATTATTATGTATGGTAGGGCACACCTGTGGCCCCAGCTACTCAGGAAGATGAGGTGGGAAGACCACTTGAGCGTGGGAGGTTGAAGCTGCAGTGAGCTGTGATAGTGCCACTGCACTCCAGCCTGGGTGAAAAAGCAAGATCTTTCCAAAAAAAAAAAAAAAAATCCACTTTTTGCTCTATTTCTTTTCTTTCCTTTTTCTTTTTTGAGACCGAGTTTCGTTCTTGTTGCCCAAGCTGGAGGGCAATGGCGTGATCTTGGCTCACTGCAGCCTCCGCCTCCTGGGTTCAAGCTATTCTCCTGCCTCAGCCTCCCGAGTAGCTGGGATTACAGTCATGCGCCACCACGCCCAGAAAATTTTGTGTTTTTAGTAGAGATGGGGTTTCTCCATGTTGATCACCCATCCTTACCTGATCTGCACACCTCGGCCTCCCAAAGTGCTGGGAATACAGGCATGAGCCACTGCGCCCTGCCTTTCTTGCTCTATCTTTACACCAGCATCCCTTCTTCAATTACACACAATTCTTTCGATCCCTATCCTCAAGGTGCCAGGCGTTATTCCACCTTTATCTTTTGAACTTTATCCAGAGTGACTGTCTTGCTGTAACAGATCACTCTCTGGTCAGACCCCTTTCAAGGCTTTAACTTTCTTGTTTGATAGCATTCTCCCTTTTCAGTTCCTTTCAAATCCAGTGTTCATGACTTCCCTGATTCTATCAAGATATATTTATATTTTTTGAATGTGTGTGCTTTAAGCCAGTGGTCCCCAACCTTTTTGGCACCAGGGAACGAGTTTCCTGGAAGACTATTTTTCCACAGGTGGGGAGGGGGTGGGAGATGGTTTTGGGATGAAACTGTTCCACCCCAGATCATCAGGCATTAGTTAGAGTCTCAACCTAGATCCCTCCCATGTGCAGTTCACAACAGGGTTCACGCTGCAATGAAAATCTAATGCCACCCACTCACCCACTGCTCACCGCCCCCAGCTGTGCAGGAGACCCCTGCTTTAGGCATTTCGATAAAGCTTTTTTTTTTTTTTTTTTTTTTGGCGTTGTACCATCACCCAACTCTGCAACTCCTCGAACAGTATGAGTGGGAAATGCCAGTGGCTTCCAATCTATCCTTTGGCACTCGAGGAGGGAGTTTATCCAGTATCTGATAAGACATAGCTGCCTTGGCATCTGCAAACTTTCCTGGAGCTCTGGAGAGATGTCTGAAATTTTATTTTTTCCATGTTGGTTGTTCACTTATTTTAGGAAGAGATACCTCTCCACCCTCACAGCCAGGAATCTATCCCGTTCTAGAGAATCGGTACTGTGTTTTGCTCATTTTCCCCATGCACACGAACTTCTTGCATGAGATTCCCAGCAGTCTTGATTTCATAATCTTTCTCCAGAGCTTTGTAAAATGTCCAAGGATCCTGGGACAGAATATTCACTATAAGAAATTATTAAGCTGTCTAAAAACAGAAATAGCTTTTACACTGCCTGTAAGACAGCAAATAGGAGCGCTGGTTGGTTGATTGATTGATTGAGACAGCGTCTCACTCTGTCACCCAGGCTGGAGTGCAGTGGTACAATCCGCAGCTCACTGCAGCCTTGAACTCCTGGGCTCAAGCGATCCTCCCACCTAGTCTTCCAAGTAGCTAGCACTACAGGTGCACATCACCATGCCCAGGTAATTTTTGTATTTTTTGTAGAGATGGGGTCTTGCTATGTTGCCCAGGCTGGCCTCATAATTCCTGGGCTCAAGCTATCCTTCCACCTGGACCTCCCAAAGTGTTGGGATTATGGGCATGAACCACTGCACCTTGCCTAGGAACTATTTATTAAGCAAATGTAAACAGTGTTCACTTTCATATCATCTGAGAGGACTTTTATACCTTTCCCTGTCCCTCAAACTTTGTATTCTCTTTTGCTTTCAGTATTTTTAGCATCTCTTTTTACTGTTAAAAAGTGAAAAGTATCTCTTTCATTTTTTAGTATTTTATATTTTTTACTTACGTATTTTATTTTTTATTTTTATTTATTTATTTTTGAGACAGAATCTCACTCTGTTGCCCAGGCTGGAGTGCAGTGACACGATCTAGTCTCACTGCAACCTCCACCTCCCAGGTTCAAGAGATTCTCCTGCCTCAGCCTCATGAGTAGCTGGGATTACAGGTGTGTGCCACCACGCCCAGCTAATTTTTGTATTTTTAGTAGAGACGGGGTTTCACCATGTTGGCCAGGCTGGTCTCGAACTCCTGACCTCATGGTCCACCCAACTTGGCCTTCCAAAGTGTTAGGATTACAGGCAAGAGCCACCGCACCCGGCCACTTATTTCATTTATTGACCTCACTTCATGCTCCACTAAGAAATAAAAACTTCACAGATAGCAACAGCCTCATCTTGCCACCACCAAATCTGTAAACCTGCCTTTATCTGTGCCCCTTGTGTGTTCTCCTTCTTCCCTCCTGTTAGAAGAAGCATCTCTCCTCCTGTCAGAATCCTCCTGTTCTTGGCCAGGCATGGTGGCTCACACCTGTAATCCCAGCATTTTCGGAGGCTGAGGCAGGAGGATCATTTGAGCCCAGGAGTTCAAGATCAGCCTGGACAATATAGCAAGACCTCTTATCTATTAAAAAAAAAAAGTTTTTGTGTTCTTTGTTTCTCACCTTCCAAGACTTTTTCTTTCTCTTTTTGGAATCAAGGTCCTGCTTTGTCACCCAGGCTGGATTGCAATGGCACAAGCATAGCTCACTGCGGCTTCACAGCTTCAACCTCCCAGGTTCAAGTGATTGTCCTACATCAGCCTCCGGAGTAGCTGGGATTGCAGGTGCACGCCACAATGCCCTGCTAGTTGTTTTTTTTTTGTTGTTTTTTGTTTTTTTTTTGTAGAGATGGGGTTTTGCCATGGTGCCCAGACTGTCTGGAACTCCTGGTCTCAAGTAGTCTGCCCACCCTGGCCTCCCAAAGCAGGATTAGAGGTGGGAGCCACCGTGCCTGGCCCCAAGAGTTCCTATCCTGCAGCATCTAGTCATCCCCTCTCTACTGGATCACTCCATCAGCATGACATATTATGGACATTATGGAGTGGCCCATGATCAGAGCCCAAAACACCACATCCCAGCTCCTCCCGCTCCATGCAGCCTCCTAGCTCTGCCCCCCTTCCCAGCCAGGCCTTTGACAAATGAGTGGTCTGCACTTAACTTCTCCCTTCCTCTCCTCTTCATGTCCAGATATTCCTCCCACAGCTCTAACACATTGCTCCCAACAAGGCCACTAACAACCTCTGTGCTGTCAGAGAAGTCATAAACATCGTCTTATCTTACCCAAGCTGTCAGCGGCCTTCACAATCGTTGAACCCTACCTCCAACTTGACATGTTCTCTGCTCTTGGCTTCTGAGACACCATGTTCTCTGGACATCTCTTGCCAGTTCTTTTTTTTTTTCTTTTGGGGAGGGAGTGGTAGGGACAGACAGACTCCTATCCCTCTGCATAACTTCTCAAAGTTAGGGTTCTTTAGCACTTAGAACCTGGCTCTTTTCATTAGCCAGGTGTGGTGGTCCATGCTTGCTACTTGGGAGGCTGACATGGGAGGATCACCTGAGCCTAAGGAGGTCGAGGCTGCAGTGAGCAGTGATCACACCACAGCCTTCCAGCCCGGGCAACAGAGTGAGACCCTGTCTCAAAAATTAAAAAAAAAAAAAAAAAAAAAAGAATTTGGCTCTTTTCTCTTTACTTCTCACTCTTAGATTCAATTTTTATTTCCAAGCTTCCCCACTTGTATATTCACACGGACCTCAAACTTACCCAAATCGGAGCACCTGATTGCCCACCTCTACCACCCAACATGTTCTTCTCTCAGGCTCCCCCTTTTCAATAATGGCCCTAGCCATCAATAAGCCCTGTTGTTTCTATAATAACTCTAAAATACACCCAGCTTCACCACTACCACACATCTCCAAGCCACCATCCACTCTCATCTGGACTCTGCTTCTGCTCTTATTCCTTTCCAACGTGTTCAAAAAGTTAAACTGGAGAAAATTGACAGCATCTGCATTTACGCAGGGGCGGTAGGAATGGGAGAGGAGGGGAGGCATTTTAAAACTATGTATTTAGTGGTTAGAACATGCAGATTCTAGTGAACCAATGCAAAGTGGGAAAGAACCAAGAGGAAGGAGTCCAGGTTAAAGGGATATTCAACAGAATGGGGCAGATGGGAAGGCCAGGCTTTGAACAGGTGACTTCGTCTTGGGACTTGTTGAGCTGTGGGAGGATCAGATGGATATTCTTGGAGGTGGTTGGATATAGAAAACTAGAAACAGCCGGGCATGGTGGCTCACGCCTGTAATCCCAGCACTTTGGGAGGCCGAGGCAGGCAGATTACCTGAGGTCAGGAGTTCAAGACCAGCCTGGCCAACATAGTGAAACCCCATCTGTACTAAAAATATAAAAATTAGCTGGGCTTGGTGATGCACACCTGTAGTCCTAGCTACTCAGAAGGCTGAGGCAGGAGAATTGCTTGAACCTGGGAGTGGGAGTTTGCAGTGAGCCAAGATCATGCCACTGTGTTCCAGCCTGGGCGACAAAGCAAGACTCTGTCTCAGTAAAAATAAATAAACTAGAAACAAGACTTCAGGGCTAAATATGTACATATAGGAATCATCCATGATAGGATGTACTTGAAGCCATGGAGGCAAATAAAATCACCTGGGAAAAAATGTACAGATGAGAAGATGAGAGTGTAATCCTGCTTCTTGCCGCAGGTTGAGTTTTTGGAGCACCCTCGTTCCACCTTCTAGTCCCAAGCGTGTGTTCCTCTTCTCTCCATAGCATTACCCTACCTTCATGTGGTCCTGGTTACTTCCTCCCAGGATGCATGCAAAAGGAAGCACAGTGTTCCACATTCCCTTTTAGTCTTGTTGATCCCAAAGATAAGTACGTCATCCAACTTCTTCTTTTTTTTTTTTTTTTCAAGATGGCCTCTCCCTTTGTCAACCATGCTAGAGTGCAGTGGCATGATTGCAGATCACTGCAACCTCTGCCTCCCAGGTTCAAGTAGTTCTCCTGCCTCAGCCTCCCGAGTAGCTGGGATTACAGCATCCACCACCTCGCCCAGCTAATTTTTGTATTTTTAGTAGAGACAGGGTTTCACCATGTTTCCCAGGCTGCTCTCGAACTCCTGACCTCAAGTGATCTGCCTGCCTCAGCCTCCCAAAGTGCTGGGATTACAGGCGTGGGCCACTGCGCCCGGCCCCAACTTCTTTATAAAGGTTTTGTTACTGAACATTTTGGCACTTAATAAAATTATCTAAACCTCCCAAGAGAGTGACAACACTTGACAAACACATACAGGCACACCTCCCTACCCTGGGGATGACTTATCTGACATTCCAGTTACGGTGCACGAAGCCAAGAATCCCTAAGTAGCAAATAAAACCTTTCAACCATTGAAGTAGAGTTATAACTTCCAGACACTAAAGCTGGAGTTCGTCTTTTGCCTATTTAATCTATATATTTTTTATTTTTTAGAGACAGTGTCGCTCTGTCACCCAGCCTAGAGTGCAGTGACATGATCATAGCTCACTGCAGCCTCAAACTTCTGGACTGAAGCAACCCTCCAGCCTCAGCCTTCTGCATAGCTGGGACTACAGGTCCCAGCACACCACCATGCCCAGCTAAATTTTTTACAGAGACGAGGTCTCACTATGTTGCCCAGGCTGGTCTCAAACTCCTGACCACAAGCAATGCTCCTGCCTCAGCCTGTCAATATTTTACCTGTATTTCTCATCAGCTTGGTTTTTTGGTCATGGTTGTTAATTTTTGAATTATATGAAAGTCCTACATAGAAGGTTCTCTCCTGGTGTTTTGGCAGATGTAAGAAAATTGATTTCGTTTGTAGCTGTTAATTTGAGAATCCATTGTAGATACTAGCAATTTCTGAAGGAATAAGAGATTCACACTTTAATGGGACTTCACAATCTTTCATCTAAAAATTCTAGCTCCTGGTAGGGAGACAAGTTCCAGACCCACAACTATTAGAAATATGTTAATAAACTGGGCCCCGGATTGAAGCATGTCTAAACAAACTATGGAATTTAATAATGTCCGAATAATGTGGAAATAATGTTTTCAGTGGAATAGGATGAGGCTGGGTGTGGTTCTCACACCTGTAATCCCAGCACTTTGGGAGGCCGAGACGGGCGGTTCACTTGAGGTCAGGAGCTGAGAGCAGCCTGGCCAACATGGTGAAATCCTGTCTCTACTAAAAATACAAAAATTAGCCGGGCATGGTGGCAGGTGCCTGTAATCCCAGCTGCTAGGGAGGCTGAGGCAGGAGAATTGCTTAAACTCAGGAGGCGGAAGTTGCAGTGAGCCAAGATCACAACACTGCACTACAGCCCAGGCAACAGAGCAAGACTCTGTGTTTGTTAAATAAATAAATGGAATAGGATGAAACAGAAAAACATTGTCATTTTTTGAAAACTCTGAAATAATCTATTCTAAAGTAATTCAATTGAAATAATAAATTCACTTTGCATTCTCCTTTTGCCACAAGATTCAAATATTTACTAACTGGCATCAACACTGGTGTTCAAATTCAGTATTGGCAATTTCACACTTGAAGACTGTCTGTGTTCCCAGAGAGTGTTAAGTCTAACTTTGAGGTCCACAAATATTTATTGGTGTCTGGTGTATGCCAGCAACTGGGAAAACAATAGGAGGTGGTTCCTACCTCAAAAAGCTTGCAGTTTGGTGAATTTACAGTCTAGTAAGACTAGACCTACGTAAAAGATACAGAGCAATGCAAAACAGTAGATGTCAGATGCCATTTGACTAACATACGCGTTAATTGCTGCAGGATTTCTAGGGAAGGAGAATCTGGTGGGCTGCAGTAGGAGAAATTGGAAAATAATTTACTATTCTCCATTGACAGTGGCAGTCAGGAACCTGGGAGCCCAATTTATTTGTCCCCTCAACCCAACTCAAATGGGTCCTCCCTTGGGAACTTTGCTGCCAACTTGCTCCTCTTCTAAACCCCTCCCCAGGCACAGTCTATCAACCCCAACTTTGCAAAACTTCCATTTTTTGTTCTTAACTATGCTAAAGTACTCACAATGCATTGCAATTGTTTGTAAGCCTGTCTCCTCTACAAGATTCTGATTTCCTGTTTTGTTATGTTCATCTTTGAATTCCCCTACTGCTTAGTATGATACATACAATATTGTTAGTGTCCCCAAAAAGTGTTTTTTTGTGAATTAAAGAAATGAATGAATTCACAATGTATGACTTGGGCCTTAAGGAAGATGGCATTCCTACATCTTAAAATTAGTAAACAGCATACCTTTACCAGGCACATGTTGATCAGAAATAAAGGAAAGTAAGTAGCCTGTAGAACTGGGGTGCTCAAACACCAATTTTTCTCAGGATTACTGAAAAACTTAAATATACAGGCCAGGTGTGGTGGCTCACGCCTGCAATCCCAACATTTTGGGAGGCTAAGGCAGGCCGATTTCTTGAGCTCGAGTTTGAGAACAGCCTGGGCAACATGGCGAAAACCCATCTCCACAAAAAACACTAAAAAAATTAGCTAGGCATAGTGGCATGCATATGTAGTTTCAGCTACTTGGGAGGCTGAGGCAGGAGAATCGCTTGAGCCTGGGAGGTGGAGGTTGCAGTGAGCTGAGATGACACCACTGCATTCCAGCCTGGAGTCAGATCCTGTCTCAAACAACAACAACAGTAAAAACAAAACAAACAGACAAACAACCTTTAAGTTATACAGCTAAATATAAAGTTCACCCCAAACTTAGTAAATCTGAATCTGCAGGCATTCAGGCAAAACTGCAGACTGAGCGTCTGATTTTTTTTGTTTTGTTTTATTTTGTTTTGAGACGGAGTTTTACTCCTGTTACCCAGGCTAGAGGGTAGTGGCACAATCTCAGCTCACTGCAACCTCTGCCTCCCGAGTTCAAGCAATTCTCCTGCCTCAGCCTGTGGAGTAGCTGGGATTATAGGCACGCACCACCACACCCAGCTAATTTTGTATTTTTAGTAAAGATGGGGTTTCTGCATGTTGGTCAGGCTGGTCTCAAACTCCAGATCTCAGGTGATTCGCCCGCCCTAGCCTCCCAAAGTGCTGGGATTACAGGCATGAGCCACCATGCCTGGCCATGCATCTGAATTTTTTAAAGGTGCCATAAGTGATATACAGCCAGGTGGTTACTATAAAATGTTTGCAGATAACTGGCACTGGTTGCTATGAAGAAGCAAATATTTTTAAATTTAATAATATTAAGAATTGTTTGACCCAGGAGTGCAAAAGCAGCCTGGGCAACAAAGCGAGACCCTGTCTCTACAAAAATTAAAATTAGAAAATCAGCCATGCATGGTGGTCCCAGCTACTCTGGAGGCTGAGGTGGGAGGATTGCTTGGGCCCAGGTGGTCCATCCTGCAGTGAGCTATGAGTGCACCACTGCACTCCAGCCTGGGTGACAGAGGGAGACCCTGTCTCAGGGAGAAAAAAAGAGAAAGCACAGAGCCTAGTTTGTTATATCACCCTTGGGGGTTCAAGGTCAGCACCATGGACATCGCCATTGGATGGGTTGGTTTTTATCATTCCTTCCTTCACACCAGTCTGTCAATTACCCCATCTTCCTTTATTTCGTTGCTAATATTTATGCCTCTCTAGTGTCATCCCACTTGATGTATTTAATATGTTGTTGGCAAGCATGGCAGTTAGCTCAACTTTTTAGCAGCTGTATTTTGAATGAAAACCAACCTCATGTTCCAAGTCCTCTTGCTTAATTCTAGCAAATTCCTAAACTGTATCCAAATCTAGAAGTCTGACCCCTATGTGGGGTGGTTCTTAGGAAAACTTATTTAGACTGTATTACAAGTAGTTCGGTTCTAACCTCTTAATTTTACATTTGTACAAATTGAGGCTCAGAGAGATGACGTTCTTGAGATGGAGAGTTACTGATAATAAACTAAGTTCAACAGTGTTTTCATGGTTTGGTCCAGAAGTTACTATAAAATCGTAACCACATCCATGGAAGGAATATCTAGTTACTAATAAAAATAAATCTAATGGTTGATACAGTTTCTCTAAATCCTCCCTACTCTTTATTAAAACCTATTTAACCACATTTATACATGTTTATGTACAATGTTATCCACCCCAATAAGTCCTGGGATCTTGAGGTTAAGAGTCCTGGTTCTATTCATCTTTGAATACAACCCAACAACAAAAACAGAGATTAATTATACTCATATTTTTTCTTTATCATGCTATAAATCCACTTTGCAGTTAATATCTATGAAAATTAATGAACATTTAAAATAAAGTATTCAACTTAGGAATTGAATATATATTATATATTTATTGAATGCGTTTTCATCTCTATTTAAGAAAACCAGATAATTGCACTAGCCAAAATAAAAAAATTTAAAATCCACATTAAAAAGAAATGTATTCAGGGCCAGGCATGGTGCCTCATGCATGTAATCCCAGCACTTTGGGAGGCTGAGGCTGGAGGATCACCTGAGGTCTGGAGTTTGAGGTTGGCCTGGCCAACATGTATATAATATATATATTGTATATAATGTATAGTATATATCATATAGACTGTGATATATTGCATATATTATATATAGACTATGATATACAGCATGTGTTACATATAGTATATAACATATGGTGTATATTATATGTGGTATATATTATATAGAGACTGATATACTGTATTGTATATATTACATATGATATACTGGATAGACTATGATATACTGTGTATATTATATATACTATTTACGTTATTCTGTATATATTATATATACACTATATCTCTCACCTTTCTATCTAAACCTGCTTCAGTTGCATTGCATGGAGCCTTTGCATACAGTTTGTTCACCCCTAAATTATACATGCAGTTCACCAGATCCTATTACGCTATGTCTGTTCCCCCTTTAAATTGATTTTTCACAAGCACTTAGCTTGGTGTCTTCAGCGTCTGGCACCTGGTAGGCATTGAGATGTTTGTTGCAATCTTTCTCAAATGCTGGGTGTGGATGGTGGTGGTGTCAGCAGCAGAATTAAAAGATAAAGGAAACCATCTGTCCTTAAAGGAACTCACCCTGGTCACAGAGACTGACATGCAAGGGGAAAGGGTATGAATGTATGAGCCAAGCATGCCAGTGTCCGTTCTCCTGGTTCCCAACAACAGTGTTAATTTTATGGTAGATGCCATTTCAAGTCCCACAGCCATCGATGTGGTCAAATGAAAGGTGTTACACAGGGCCGGGTGCGGTGGGTCACACCTGTAATCCCAGAGCTTTGGGAGGCCAAGGTGGGTGGATCACCTTAGGTTAGGAGTTCAAGACCAGCCTGGCCAACATGGTGAAACCCCATCTCTACTAAAAATACAAAAAATTAGCTGGGCATGGTGGCGGGTGCCTGTAATCCCAGCTACTCGGGAGGCTGAGGCAGGAGAATAGCTTGAACCCAGGAGGCGGAGGTTGCATTGAGCCAAGATCATGCCACAGCACTCCAGCCTGGGCAACAAGAGTGAAACTCCATCTCAGAAAGAAAGAAAGGAAGAAAGGTATTGAACAGAATTGAAAAGTTTGTCAGATGAGTGTTTCTGGAAGACCTTAAAATTAAGAAATTATTTGTTCATAATAAAGACTACCCTTTTCCCTACAGAATGTAATTAAGATATTTATTTTTTATAACCTAAAAATTCGTCTTTGTCAGTATCATTTTCTGCAAGATAGGAAGCTATTATCCTGCAGCCACTGGTTTTTGTGAAACTGCCCATGGTTTACGCCTTTGTATTTTTTTCCTGTGTCCTCTGGAGCACTAGTTAGCCAAAGTCTAAAATTGGAGCAGAAATTATGGGGCAGTGGAGTTGGAATTACAGCTTAGACTCCTGTCTCTACCACATGTAACTATGGCCTGCCATCTGATGTTCTTCATTTGCAAAGTGGGAATAATAGTACTTAATATACCTGTTGAAAATATTTGACTTTCTGACTCAGAAGGGATCTTAAAAATGTCCTTTTATAATTGAGGTAAAGAAGAAATCGCTAGGTAGGGAAATGTATGTAGTAAATGATGAAATCTGTAAAGATGTTTTAAAAATTGTAAATACCTCTACAAATATCATATACTACTCAAGCAACATCCTAACATCACTAGGCATTTGTTTTCTGTTTAACTGCCTTTGGAAGACCTGCATGTAAAGTAACAAATATGTCTCACCCCAGACGTGTTCAACTCCCGTATCTCCCTTTTTCATTACAGTCATCTCTCTGGCTCCTTCACTGCCCCCATTCCTATCCATCTGCTCTTTGATGTCATATGCACCTTACAGGTTTCAGTTTCTCTTCCCGGCTTTGCTTTCTTTTCTGCTTGTCTTGAGCCCCATGGTTGACTAGCTGAAGCATTCTCGAATAAGGAGTCTCAATTCCTTTAATATCCGGCCCACTTTTCTTCTTTTTTTTTTTTTTTTTTTTTTTTTTTTTTTTTGACATGGAGTCTCGCTCTGTCACCCAGGCTGGAATGCAGTGCTGGGATCTCGGCTCACTGCAACCTCTACCTCCTGGGTTCAAGTGATTCTTTTGCCTCAGCCTCTCGAGTAGCTGGGACTACAGGTGCACGCCACCATACATGGCTAATTTTTGTATTTTTAGTACAGATGGGGTTTCACCATGTTGGCCAGGCTGGTCTTGAATTCCTGACCTCAGGTGATCCGCCCGCCTTGGCCTCCCAAAGTGCTGGGATTACAGGCATGAGCCACTGTGCCTGGCCCCCAGCCCATTTTTCTACGCTTCTTGCCTACCTTGGTTCCATGATAAAAGCCACCTCCTTAGCCTGTTAACCCATACAATGGAGGTTTAGGGAGTGGGTGGAAGAGCTTTAGTGTCTTTGGTTTAAATTTAGGTCTGTTTTAAAATTGTGTCTGATACAACCACATCTCCTTAATAAACGTATTGGTTTACTATTTTCAGTTCAGTCTTTAGAAAACAAGCAGCCTTTCAGGAAGAATTTCAGAGAGGTTTGGTTCTCAAATTTTGTGTGCTTCTAAATATTCTTTATACCTTGCTTCAAAATGTAGCTACCTGAGCTCACCTTTCTGTAGCCATTTCAGTTTATTAGGTTTGGGGTGAAATGTGCCATTTGTATTTTCAACAAGCCCCACCCCAGCTGCTGAAAATGATGCAAAATCAAATTTGAGCATCGCTGCTGTAGAATACATTCTCTCTTTCTTCCAATGGAGAGTTCCATTCCTGAATGTGGGATATGTTGAAATGGTGCAGCCAAATTTGCATTGTTGTTCGGTAATATCAGTGGTTCTTAATCAAAGACATGTATGAGAATCAACTGTGGTGCTTTTGAAGGTCATCACTAAAAATTGTCCACGCTTTAGCTCCACCCACTGGCAATTCTGTGAAATACTTTTCAGGTGGGGCCCCGCTCGCCTGTTAACGTATCACAGGTGATTTCTACTTGGTATAATATGGTATGACCCATCTGCAGTGGAAACAAATGCCTGTTTTGGATAGGAGTATTTCAATTCAAGTTAATATGAATTGATAAATACACAGGTAATATTTGGGTTGTTATTCAAAGAACTTATAAAAGTCATATCTTGTAAAAGTCTATAGATTTATTACAGCCTTTTAAAAAATATTGCCAGGCCCCAAGCCCTGAAAATATGTTGCGCTTGCTCCTTCCCTTACTGAAATCACATTTAAATTCAGAATCACCAGTGCTAGTTTACTTTCAGTTCAAGACAGCAAGCCTGAAAATAGCCTTAATGACGCATGCAGAGCATTTTCCTAGGAACAGACTCTGGACTTATTAGTGTCTGGAGCCATCAGTCAATACTTTTCTGGTGCACTGGTGTGTTAGTAAGGGATGCCAGAAATGCGTGCCTTCTCTTATCAGTCACCCGGAGAATTCACGTAACTTGCTTTAAATAGCCGAAGTGAAGAAGGAGATTGACTTTACAGTTGTGTTTGCTTCTTTAAAAAATATACTTATCTTTTCCTAGCTGTAAAATAGCAATCGAAAACTGCCATCTAAAGTGAAAAATAATTCCCTAAGGTTTCAATAGGGTTTTTCTTGTATCAGAACCAGGGCCAGGGTGTAACTGGATTTAAGTGCCAGACAAGGAGCTAGAAGCTGCAGGTGCAGCTCCCCGCCACGCTGCTCTCTGTGACCTTGAGTGAGACACAAAATTGCTGGGCTTCCGTTTTTCATTTTAAAATGCGAGGGTTGGATTTGCTCGCTAAGAGCTCTTTTATCTCTAATAGTTAAGATGATGGAACATGATGTTTTGAGATGTTTTGCTGAAATTTCTCACATAGAAAATGGGCCTTCTGAAAACATATAATTATAGTTTTGGGTAGGAAGAAGCTGTCATGGTGGCGAAGGGGAACATTGCAAATCTGAACATGACCGCAGCTGGCGGGAGAATAATGTGTTAGAATTGAAAGGCACCCTGCAGACTTGCTGTTTAATGTACAAAGAAGCCTAGGGCCGGAGGGGCAGGGGGACTCTCAGGGACAGTGGAATCTGGCTCAACGGTCACCCTCTGGTAGCAAGCAAGACCTGTCTCTGTGACAGGTCTCAATCAATGGAGAAGCTTATTTTGCCGACGTTAAGGACATGCCTAGGCTCAGCGTCCTAAACTAAGCCAAGTGCACCAAGCCAGGTGCTCAGGCTCCTAAACTAAGGTGCAATTAGGCAATCAGCATGGATTGTTAGACTGTACAAAGGTGGAGATGCCAATTCCCCAACTGTTTTCCTAGGGGTTGTGTTCCCACACACGCACTTTCTCCTTAGTAACAGCGCACGGCTCCTGACCTGGATGGGTGGCCTTAGATCTGTGAAGCACATCTACCTTGCCTTGAGAAAGATGCAACTCAATGTTGGCTTCCTTAGCTCCGTGCCACTCAGCATTGCAGCACCGAAAGGAAAACTGTTTCCTCTCTACTCTCCCACTACTCTCAATTCTTCCAACAACAGATGTGGGTTGTTTTCCCCCCCAACAGCAAGCAGTTCTCCAGTTCTCTGCAGATGCTAATGCCACGTCCTGCAATTCAATTCTGACCTTATCTACCTGGAGTTAGTGCAGACCCAACAGGTTGAAGGCTGAGTCCCAAAAGACTGTCCCCACTTCAGATGCCAGTCGCACAAGTGATGAGTCTCCAGGTTATCCTCAACTTCTGTCCAACTCAACTACAGATCAGAGGTTCCCATGGCCCCCTACTCAGGTTCTATAATTTGCTAGAAGGGCTCATAAAACTCAAGAGAACAGCCGACTTACTAGATGACTAGTTTATTATAAGAGGATACAACTCAGGAACAGCCAGAGGAGAGAGGGATGGGAGAGGGTGCAGAACATCCATGCCGTATCTAGGTACGCCACCCTTCCAGCACGGCCCTGGGGTCACACACCTGGAAGCTCTCAGATCTCCATCCTTTTGGGTTTTTATGGAAGCTTTGTTACTTAGGCACCATTGACTAAATCACTGGCCACTGGCGATTAAGTCAGTCTCCAACCCTTTTCCTGTCTCTAGAGGTCAGGGTGTTGGGGCGGAAAGTTCAAACACTTTAATATTACGGTTGGTTCCTCTGGCACCCAGGCCCCATCCCAAGGCTCTCCAGGAGACCCCAGCCACCAGTCATTCATTAGCATGCCAAAAGACACTTAACACTTTGGAGAGTATAAGAGTTTTAGGAGCTGCATTCCAGTAAACAGGTGTGCAGATCAGATAAGCATTTCTTATTGTATTGCAGTATCAGAGATGATGCTCACCGCTGGACCACATTCCAAGATATGGCTCCACTTATTGATCTTTGAATGAAGGGGTACCTTATTGATCCTCCCCCTGACCTTACCCCAAATAACAAATCATACCAGTACTAAACTGGCAGAACTCAAGATTGGTTAGGAAAGATCCTCTGAAACTTCGTATAATGACAGTTACCTTGTTTTGAGTGTGTCCCCTGTGCCAGGCACTGTGCTGAGAGCTTTGTGTGTTCAGACTCACTTCACAGTTACAAAACCCTCTTTAATATGTGGGAACTGGGCTTGAAATGGTTTAGGTACACGGTCCAGTTCATAGCCAATGTTGTGTTACTAGAAAGGGATCCCAATACAGACCCTGAGAGTGGGTTCTTGGACCTTGTGCAAGGAAGAATTCAGGGCAAGGCCATAGAGTAAGGTGAAAGCAATTTGTTAGAGAAGTTAAAAAAAGAAAAAAGAATGGCTACTCCATAGGCAGAGCAGCAGCATGGGCTGCTTAACTGAATATACTTATAGTTATTTCTTGATTATATACTAAACAAGCAGTGGATTGTTCATGAGTTTTCCAGGAAAGGTGTGGGCAGTTCCTGAAACTGAGGGTTCCTCCCCCTTTTAGACTATATAGGGTAACTTCCTGACATTGCCATGGCATCTATAAACTGTCCTGGCACTGGTAGGAGTGTCTTTTAACATGTTAATGCATTGTAATTAGTGTATTATTGTTACAGTGGAGGGTGTCCACGTTCTTGGCGTCTTCAACAAAGAATTGGACAAAACCCACAAAGCAAGGAAAGAATGAAGCAACAAAAGCAGAGATTTATTGAAAACAAAGTATACTCTACATAGAGTGAGAGCAGCCAAAGCAAGCAGCTCAAGAGCCCGGTTACAGAATTTTGTGGGGTTTACGTACCCTCTAGAGGTTTCCTGTGTTTGCTTGGTATACACGCTATGTAAATGAAGTAGCGACTCTCCATCAGTCTGATTGGTTGTAGGAGGAGACTAATCAGAGGCTGAAGCGATGTTATGAAGTTGCACCCTATGCACACATCTGATTGGCTACAGAAAGTGACCAATCAGATGCTGAAGTGAAGTTACAAAGTTATACCCCTTTGTAAATGAAAACTTGGCCCCAGACCAGCCTGAATGGTTGCAGGAGGGTTCTAAACAGAGGTACTTTCAATTTCAGAGGCAGAGCATGGTAGCTTATGCCTGTAATCTCAGCACTTAAGGAGGCTGAGGCAGCCCAATCACTTGAGGTCAGGAGTTCTAGACCAGTCTGGCCAACATGGTGAAACTCCGTCTCTACCAAAAATATTTATTTAAAAAACTAGCCATGTGTAGTGGCACACACTTGTAATCCCAGCTACTCAGGAGGCTGAGACAGGAGAATCACTTGAACCCGGGAGGCAGAGATAGCAGTGAGCCAAGATTGTGCCACTGCACTCCAGTCTGGGTGACAGAGTGAGATTGAATCTCAAAAAAAAAAAAAATACAGTTCTCATCTGCCACACAGAAAAAGGAGGGGGAGGGTATTGCAAAGGGCGTAGCCTTTGGTCCTTTTGTTATTTGAGCGTGGAAAGTTGGGGTTTTTCTTTTGATTTAGTTTTAGGAAGTCAGCGTGAATCAGCCTTAGGTTCCCTGTCTCCAGGCCCTATTCTCCTGCCTCATAATAAATAATAATAATAAACAGGGAAGACGACCAGAGATCACTTTCATCACCATCTTGATTTAGGTGGGATTTGGCCGGCTTCTTTACTGCATCTTGTTTTATCAGCAAGGTCTTTGAGACCTGTATCTGGTGCTGAACTCCCATGAATAAGAATGCCTAAACTCTTGGGAATGCAGCCCAGTAGGTCTCAGCCTTATTTTATCCAGCCCCTATTCAAAATGGAGTTGCTGTTGTTAGAATGTCTCTGACAGCTGGACTCATCCAAAGCCTTTTTAGTAATGCCATGACTGTGTAAATCCAGAAGTCTCTGTGACAGGTCTCAATCAATTTAGAAGCTCACTTTGCCAAGATTAAGGATATGCCCAGGAGAAAAGAACATGGAATCACTAAAACAGTCTGTGGTCTGGGCCTTTCTCCAAAGGTGAATTTGAGGGCTTCAGTATTTAAAGGGGAAGAGTGGGCTGCAGAGGGAAGATGGAGGGTGTGGTAATTCACATAATGCAGGAGGAAAGGGGCAGGTTAGGGAAGAGTCACTTATATATTCCTCCGGCTTTCAGTAAATTGGCACTTTACAAAGATAAGATGGACACAGAGTAGGAAGTATTTAACCTTTTAGTTGTAGTTGTCTGCTTAGGAACAAAAGGGAAGGCAACTTCTTGCATGGCTCAGCTTTCAGCTTCATTTTTTTTTCTTTTGGCAGAGTGAATTGGGGTTCCAAGGTTTGTTTGTTCGTTTGTTTGAGACGGAGTTTCACTCTTGTTGCCCAGGCTGGAGTGCAAAGGCGCCATCTCGGCTCACTGGAAGCACCTCCTGGGTTCAAGTGATTCTCCTGCCTCAGCCTCGCGGGTAGCTGGGAATACAGGCAGCGGCCACCACGCTTGGCTAATTTTTATATTTTTAGTAGAAACGGGATTTCACCATGTTGCCCAGGATGGTCTCAAACTCCTGACCTAAGTTGATCCTCCCACCTCAGCCTCCGAAGGTGCTGGGATTACAGGCGTGAGCCACCATGCCTGGCCGGAGTTTTTATTTTCCTTTTACAAGTGCTTCCTCTTCTATTTCCCACAGAACATTCTGGAAAACCACCAGGGTAGAACCCTGACTTCTATTTGACCACAGCTCACCATTCTTATATGTTTTGTGATTTTCATTTTCCCTTAAGAATTGTCTCCAATTGCGACATTCTTCAGAACTTATTAAAGATATCTGAAGTGTATACGGTGAAAAATGTATAGAATGGTGGTGTCACCACTTGATGTTGAGTGTGAAATGTGTGGGTAGTAAACTTCTGAAGCTGCTGCTGTAAGGGCCAAGGGAAACTTCCCCTTCACCCTGTGAAAGTTTGCAGAAAAAGCAACTCACTAAGACAGGTTAATTGGAGAAAAGGCATGCAAATGTATTTAACATGCACACGGGGAGAATCTCAGATTACTTATTCCCTAATAGAGTTAAGAAGCTTATACAGCATCCTGGCCAAACAAGTTATGGGAGTAGGGAGAAGAGGAATTCCATTGAGAGGATCACTAGGGAGAATGAATGGATCCAGGAACAGAGATAAATTTGTAAATAGTCTCTTGACAGTTAAGGTTTGGTTGCATTCTTGGTATTAACAGGGAGGGGAAGCAGAAACCATTGGTCTCTTTGGTGCCTCTGGGTCCTGGGCAGATACAGCCTTTGCTGTGGGAGGGATGTGGGGGACCTTGAGGCGGCTTCTTCATTTCAGCAGGCCAACTACTCAGGAGGCTGAGTCGGGAGGATCGCTCTAAGCCCAGTAGTTCAAGGTTGCGGTGAGTTCTGATCCTACCACTGCACTCCAGTCTGGGTGACAAAGTGAGACCCCGTATCTAATTAAAAAAAAGAAGACACCTCTTCAAATTTTGACAGAGTTTAACTCTTTCATCAAAATACCTATATATTTTATGTAATATGGATCATTTATATATACACATATCTGTGTGTACATATTGTTATCTGTATACGTATATCTGTATTATATAACATATATAATCTGTGTGTATATGTATATATCTTTTTATGTGTCTATCCTTCCTGACACCCATTCCCTGAATTCTTTTCTGCCAAGATAAATGCAAAGAGCCAGAAAATCTGTGATCCTATCTCTTAACAGATCTGTGCTGAGAAATTACTGTAGGTATACCTGGAGTTCTTAATAAAAATTCTAGTTAGATGACTTTTGAGAACCATAAAAAAAAACTTAAGAGAACTTCTGGGATCTCTAGTAGGGACTAACTTTCTCTTTACAAATGTTGACAAATTGTTGAGATTGTCTGCGGAGATAGTACATGATATGGTTTGGCTCTGTGTCCCCACCCAAATCTCACATTGAATGGTAATCCCCATGTATCAAAGGAGGGGCCTGGTGGGAGGTGATTGGATCATGGGGGTGGATTTCCCCCTTTCTGTTCTCATGATAGTGAGGTTCTTATGAGATCTGATGGTTTAAAAGTGCGTGTGTCTCTCTCTCTCGCTCGCTCGCTCTCTCGCTCTCACTCTCTCTTGCTCTCCTGTGATAAGACATGCTTGCTTCCCCTTTGGTCATGATTGTAAGTTTCCTGAGGCCTCCTGTTAAGCCTGAGGAACTGAATCAACTAAACCTCTTCATAAATTGCCCAGTCTCAGGTAGTTCTTTATAGCAGTGTGAGAACAGACTAATACAGTATATGAGGTACACAAGACAGCTCATTACTTTTAGAGTCAAGCATTGTTTTTAATTTAAAAATGTTATCTCCCAGGTTGATCATAGGCTGTATTCATTCAGCTTGGCTTTGAGTGACTCTGGGCTGTTTGCTAAAACTAATTTGTCCTCAAAGGAAAGCGAGTTATGAATAGGGGCATTCAAAATTTTATGACTTTGGTTCTGATGATACTTTCAAAAAATGAATTTTAAATAATTTTCAAATGAGAGAAACAATCCTCAAATATATGTTCATTTTTTTCCAAGGGTTTTTTGAAGGGGTTCCCATTCACTTGGATAGGTTTGTATATGCTTGACATTTTTTAATTACTCAAATTATTTGAGGATCACAATTCACTTTTAATTGTTTTTTTAATATTGGAGATGTGGGATTTGTTTTTTTCTCTTTTGGTTGTCAACCTGGTTACTAACAGACTGATTCTCCTTGAGCATCCAGAATAAGACAAGCCCGTTGGTTTAATAGTTATCTGTGGTAAGTACCGTCATACACAGTGTGTCTCCTTTGTAAAACTTAAGTGCAATGAATGATGTTGTTACTAGTCCAACGTGTTTCTCTCTTGCTAGAATAATAGCCTCACAGAGCAAAATCTCTGTCTTGTTGAGTTCTGTGTTCCCACTGCCAAGAAAGTATCCTGAGCCTAAGAGGCACTTAATAAGCACTTAATGAATTACAAAAGAAATGATTTGATTACAGAACTAAGTCTACCAAGTGTAGCTAGTTCAGTTGCAGAAAACAGAATCCAGAACTTTTATGTTTCCAGTGCATCATTTTGTCTCTAACTGCTTAGGAACTATGGTTAGGGCTAAGAGAAAATAGACGAATTTATCCCCTGCTGGTGGGCATGAAAATTAGCACATCTCCCTGGAGGAAAACTTGGTAAAATATTTATCACATCTTTTCAGACGTAAACACTTTTTCTAACCACATAGGAGACTTACATAAACATCTTTTGGTCAATAATTTGTCTAAGGAAATAAGGATAAAATGTTTTAGATATGTTTTTAATATCAAAAGAAATGTCTAATAACAGTGCAGACCCCTCTTACGTACCCCTTGAGGTCCTCTCAGCCTCACCTATCTGTTCCACCCCTCTCTGTGGCAATTCCTCTGCATAAGGCCAACAGGTCTTCCTTGTTGGCCACAGGTGGTGTGCTGTGAGGCTGTGCTCATCACGCTTGTGTGCACAAAGCACTGGGCAGACACACCCAGTGCAGAAAATCTTTGACCAAGAGGTGACCAAAACTGATAATATTACATCTTCGCTATATATATATATATATATATATATATATATATATATATTTTTTTTTTTTTTTTTTTTTTTTTTTTTTTTTTGAGACAGAGTCTTGCTCTGTCTCCCAGGCTGGAATGCAGTGGCATGATCTCGGCTCACTGCAACCTCTGCCTCCTGGCTTCAAGTGATTCTTTTGCCTTAGCCTTCCGAGTAGCTGGGACTACAGGTGTGCACCATCATGCCCGGCTAGTTTTTGTATTTTTAGTAGAGATGGAGTTTTACCATGTTGGCCAGGCTGGTCTCAAACTCCTGACCTCAAGTGATATGCCCGCCTCGGCATCCCAAAGTGCTGGGATTACAGACGTGAGCCACCGTACCCGGCCCATCATTCCTTTAACAGAGTGTCTTGAGATGTGGCTTATGGCTTCTCAGAAGATAGTCCAGAAGGATTGAGCCATCAATCAATCACACCTAGTAGCAGCCAAGTCTATTACAGCCCCTCAGATGGTCTCTTCCTCTCCTTCCCTGATTCCTTCTCTGGCCCCTCTCTTCTATTCCCTGAGATTGTACTCTTATATAAGCTCAGTGCCTCAGTATCTGCTGTCTGGAGAGCTGAGAAGTTGTCTTGTTGATTAAATAAGCTATATCATCTTTTAAGTGGCTACAGATATGGACAGCCATTACAACTGACATGAAAAGGCAATAAATGAAATAAGCTGGTCACAATTTTTTTTCTGAGACAGAGTTCTGTTGTGTTGCCCAGGCTGGAGGGCTGGAGTGCAATGGCGCGATCTCGGCTTACTGCAACCTGTGCCTCCTGGGTTCAAGCAATTCTCTTGCCTCAGCCTCCTGAGTAGCTGGGATTACAGGCGCCTGCCACCATGCCCTACTAATTTTTGTGGGTTTTTTTAGTAGAGATGGGGTTTTGCCATGTTGTCCAGGCTGGTCTCAAACTCATGGCCTCAAGCAATCCATCTCGGCTTTCCAAACTGTTGGGAATACAAGTGTGAGCCACCACACCTTATCTCTTATTGGTTTTTACAGAGACTAACTGAGATATATTTAAGCAACAGGACTTCTACATAGTAAGCACAATATAGTTGCAAATTAAGGCAGTTATTAATTATTACAGTCTAATAATGTCTGAAAAAAACAAGTCTGTTTATCACGCTGAATCACATCTGTATACTGCCACAGGTATACCTCAGGGAAGTTCAGATTACTACCCAAGGGCCAACCGCTGCTTCTGAAACATCAACTGACAGAAGAACCTACGGAAGTTATAATATCTCCTGGCTAGACTGAAGATGCCTTGAGCAGATATTTGGGTGTTTTTTTCTGTTTTTTGTTTGTTTTGTTTGTTTTGAGATGCAGTCTCGCTCTGTCGCCTAGGCTGGAGTGTAGTGGCATGATCACGGTTCACTGCAACCTCCACCTCCCGGGTTCAAGCGATTCTCCTGCCTCAACCTCCTGGGTAGGTGGGAGTACTGGTGCCCGCCACCATGCCCAGCTAATTTTTTGTATTTTTAGTAGAGACAGGGTTTCACCACGTTGGGCAGGCTGGTCTCGAACTCCTTACCTCAGGTGATCCGCCCACCTCACCCTCCCAAAGTGCTGGGATTACAGGGATGAGCCACCACGCCAGGCCTGGGGTATCTTTATTAAAGACCTTTAGAGTTACTACATGTTATTCTCAGAGTTTATTTGTAGATGTTCCAATGATAACCTTGCCTCTAACAATGCACCCCAGTCATAGTGGAGCATCTGTCATTTTAGAAAAGTTTTCATATATTCAGCTCATCTGTGCCTTCCTCCCGTGTCTGCTCTTTGGACCTTGTTTCGGCCCCTTCAAACAGAGCAACAATTGGTCACTAAGCTTTCCTTCAGAAAGTCTCTCAACACTGAAGCAAGGGCAGCAGCAAAGGTTTTAAGAGTTTCTAGAGAGTGAGTGATCACATGGGGTTTCATGTTCAGAACTCACCACCCACAACTCTCTGCACTAATCTAATCCCTGCCAAAACATTTGGTTTGGGTCATGGGGACACTCAGCTCAATCATTTTCGTTTAAAAAAAAAAAACAGAACAGGCTGGGCACAGTGGCTCATGCCTGTAATCCCAGCACTTTGGGAGGCCGAGGCCGGTGGATCACCTGAGGTCAGGAGGTAGAGACCAGCCTGGCCAACATGGTGAAACCCCGTTTCTACTAAAAATACAAAAATTAGCTGGGCATGGTGGCGGGTTCCTATAATCCCAGCTACTCGGGAGGCTGAGACAGGAGAATCGCTTGAACCCGGGAGGCGGAGGTTGCAGTGAGCCAAGATCACTCCACTGCACTCCAGCCTGGGCAATAAGAGCAAAACTCTGTCTCAAAAAAAAAAAAAAAGAAAAGAAAAAAGAAACCAAAACATGAGTATAAAATAAATGATGAAATAAAATCGCTGAAATTTGTATAACTTCTGATCGCTAGACCTCTGTGAACTTAGCTAAAACCGCAGCTGTTGCAGTGGAGAAGAAAGTGAAGATTACCGAATTAACATAAAATATAATGTGTCTCCCCGTGCTTGTCAGCATGTACTTTGTAAAGGCTTTCCTGGTGTTTGTTTAGAATGCTGCTTTGGAAATTCTTTGTAGTGTATAATTTTCTAAATAAGTACAGAATAGACATTTTATAACAATTTAAATGCCAGCATCAGTTTAAAAGGGATACCACTGTTGGAGTCTCTTAACTCTTTCATTACTGTCCTCGCCACAGAATACAATTACTGAGTGGAACCGCGGTGACAAAAGCGAAAACAACTCAGTGTTCAGGGTACTGTGAATATTTGCTGGGCCACATTTCGTGGGCTGAGACTCTTCAAAAAATGATGTCACTGGTGTCTAGCAAGATTGCCTTATATCAGGCTGCTTTTCATTTTGTTTTTGAAATGTTTGTAGTTTAAGAAAAACAAGGCCAGGCACAGTGGCTCACACTTGTAATCCCAGCACTTTGGAAGGCCAAGGCGGGCAGATCACTTGAGGTCAGGAGTTCAAGACCAGCCTGGTCAACATGGTGAAACTCCATCTGTACTAAAAATACAAAAATTAGCCGGGCGTGGTGGCGGGCGCCTATAATCCCAGCTACTTGGGAGGCTGAGGCAGGAGAATCACTTGAACCCGGGAGGCAGAGGTTGCAGTGACCTGAGATCACGCCACTGTACTCCAGCCTGGGTGACAGAGCCAGACTCTGTCTCAAAGAAAAAAAAAAAAATAGATACAGTATAGAGAAAACCAACTAAGAAATGGGAGAGCTAAGTGAGTGAAGTGTAACTGATAAGCAAAGAGAAGGAATAAAAATACCAAGTTATCACTCAGGAGTTACAGGCAGCAGCTACACAAAAGATGTAGCCAACCAAGGGAAGAAGAGAGTGCTCAAATTAGTGTGAACCCAGACACCTGAGAATCCAAACTTTTCAATCGCTGTAGCTAAAGTTCTTTGGCCCAGTGTAGACACAAGCTCCCTCACTGGGGTCTCAGGATATAAGGATTCAAGCCCTGTCTCTCGTGCCACTCTGTCCTTTCAACCACGCAGTGCTGGATTTTAAACAGGTAGAAAGTAAAATGTTTATTGTATTTACCCCTTTGCTTAATTCTTAATCATTTTAAATTTAATAAATATCTATATACACTTGCACTTACATATATATATGTTGATCGTATAAAACAAAATCCTGGCTGGGCGCGATGGCTCACGCCTGTAATCTGAGCACTTTGGAAGGCTGATGCAGGCAGATTGCTTGAGTCCAGGAGTTGGAGACCAGCCTGGACAACATAGTGAAACCCTGTCTCTACAAAAAATACAAAAAGTAGCCAGATGTCATAGCGCATACCTGTAATCCCAGCTACTTGGGAGGATCATTTGAGCATGGAATGCAGAGGTTGCAGTGGGGCGAGATCACACCATTGCACTCAGCCCTGTGTGACAGAGTGAGACCCTGTCTTAAAAAAAGTATATATTTGTTTCAAAACATATTGTAGGAACTTTTGCCCATATATAAAGAATAAAATAAAGTTGAAAAGTTTCCTTCCTTAATGGAAGGATTATTTATTATCATTGAAAGTTAGCAAGATGATAGAGAGAAGTTATAATCAGACAAGGATAACTAGAAAGTAAGATATCAGTAAGTGCTAAATAAAGCAGATGGCTATGACCTGGTTCCTGTAAGTATAGTCAGTACCTCTTCAGTTCCTGGGTGCTTCCTATATAAGACTTGATAGCTACACTCCCACCTGAGGCATTTAATATAATAAAAGAGTAGAACAAGTTTTATAAGAAGTTAGTGTACACAACAAATAAGTGGATAAAAAAAACGGATTAGATCTTCTTGACCTGTCTTTTCTATAGTCCCTCTCTCTCTCTTTTTTTTTTTTTTTTTTTCTGAGATGGAGCCTCATTGTGTCGCCCAGGCTGGAGTGCAGTGGAACAATCTTGGCTCACTGCAACCTCCACCTCCCGGGCTTAAGTGATTCTCCCACCTGAGCCTCCCAAGTAGCTGGGATTACAGGCACCCACCACCATGCTTGGCTAATTTTTGAATTTTTAGTAGACCTGGTTCCTAGGTCTACTAAAGTAGGTTTTCACCATGTTGGCCAGGCTGCTCTCGAACTCCTGACCTCAAGTGATCTGCCCACCTCGGCCTCCCAAAGTGCTGGGATTACTGATGTGAGCCACCGTGCCCAGCCTCCATAGTCTCTTACAATAGGGATCTGGGTCATTTTTTTTTTTTTTTTCATTTCTCTAAAAAGAGCAAATTGAGAGTAGTTAATATTTAAGACAAATCCATTATAGACATTAAAACAAACTATGAATTTTCCTTTTATGTTATTAGCAATTGACAGTTTCAGGATGAAAATTGAAAACCATACTTTGCTATTTAGCATAGTAAAATTCACCTTTGTATTAGGAAATGAAGAAATCAATGCATAAAAATCTAAGTAACTATATTAATCATGATCAGAAATTTATTTCTATCCTTGAGTGAATTTCATTTCACTTTTTAATCATAGGTATTCATTCTATCACTGGCACATTTTTATTAAACTTAGGTATGCATTGTGTTATAGCGTTCAAATTATTAGCTTCACTATTAACTCATTAGTCATTGTTTAGGGAGAAAGCTAGAACTATAGTGCCATGAAATTATAATGTGTTTATTCTATTTCATAACCAAAGATATTTTTAAGTTAATTATCTCCTCCTATAATAATTGGTGCTTAGCAGCCTTAGGCCTAGTGATTCCAGAAGGCTGTAAGAAAATAAAAGTTCTTCCTTTTCTAAACATTAACCACCTCTCTGACAAGAGCCTGTGGGCCTCCACACAGCAGGCCTCTGTGGAGCAAATAGAGTTTCCTTTGGATGTGAGAAAAAGCAAGTCTTGCGGCCAAAAAGCTGTCCACTAATATCCTTCCAGCCCTGCCAGATTAGTTCTTGCGTATACCCATCTGTTAATGACAGGGTCCAGGCATCTGTCTCTAGGCAGAAAAGAGCATACGGCAGTGAGATGAGGGACTTCAAGGCCAGGGGATAGAGGGCATGAGTCAGGGCAGAAGCATGGAGAAGGTGGGAAATTTGGGGAGCTTGAACAGATGTTTCTGGACCATCCTTTTGGGTCTGTAGGCCAGATAGTAATGAAGCATTATTGTGTGGGGTAAATATGTGAGGTTCATTGTCTCACGGCAGGGAAATCGAGGACGTGGACGTGGAAGAAATGAGTTTAAGAGCGGAGGTTTAATAGGTGAAAGAAAAAGAGAATAGCTCTCTCTCTCTCTTGCAAAGAGAGAAGGGCTCCCAAGTGCGTCATCTGGTTTCATGGTGAAACGCATGGGGTTTCATAGTTGAGCTTGAGAAGGCGCTGTCTGCTTTACATAGGGCGCGAGAGATTGTTCGGACCAGGTGTGACATTTGCATGGTGCATGAAGATGCTGGCCAGCCCACCCTAATCTTTCATGCAGATGGGGTCTCAACCTGGCCAGCACCATGTTGTCTGTTCCTCACTGTACTTGTGGTTGACAAACAAAAGGGAAGATGGAGCCACCAGGTTGCACATGCCTGGCCCCCAGGTAGCCTTCATCTATTGGCACAGCTGCGGCATTTACCTGTGCAGACTTTTAGCTTGTTTATCTATGCTTTCAGCTTGATTTTTCAGGCTGCTTTTTGTTAGAAAAGAAACAATATGGGGGCTGTGTTTCATTAGAAGGAAGCCTTACCGAGGACTCTCTTACCCTCACTGTTTGCTGAAATAATTTATTTCTAGCTCATATATCAGTAATAGTGCTGGAGTCAGGGTGGGAAGGGAGGTGGTGAAACCAGGTGGTTGGTCTCTTCAGCAGCCTTCTCAAGATGAGTGATTTGTGGAGGGGCGCGGTGGCTCACGCCTGTTATCCCAGCACTTTGGGAGACCGAGGTGGGTGGATCATCTGAGGTCAGGAGTTAGAGACCAGCCTCGCCAACATAGTGAAACCCTGTCTCTGCTAAAAATACAAAAATTTGCTAGGCATGTTGGCGGGCGCCTATAGTCCCAGCTACTTGGGAGGCTGAGGCAGGGGAATCACTTGATCCTACGAGGCAGAGGTTGCAGTGAGCCAAGATCCTGCCACAAATTGCACTCCAGCCTGGGCAACAGAGCAAGACTCCATCTCAAAAAAAAAAAAAAATGAGATAGGAAGACATACATGGTCTCATAGTTTATAAAATTCCACACCAAGGACCCTGCACAGGAAACACTGAAAGGCTGCTGCAGCGACCCTAGTTTTACAGAGGGAATAAAAAGTCATGCAAATTGTACTTTTAGTAGAGACAGGGTTTCACCATGTTGCACTGGCTGGTCTCGAACTCCTGACCTCAGGTGGTCCGCTTGCCTCGGCCTCCCAAAGTGCTGGGATTACATGCGTGAGCCACCACACCCAGCCATTCATGAAATACAGCTTTCTAGATGGTGAAAAAGAGATGTGAAGAGAGAAACGGAAGATCTAAATAAATAAAAATAATGATTTGTGCCGGGAACTGTGGCTGACGCCTGTAATCCCAGCATTTTGGGAGGCCGAGGTGGGCGGATCACGAGGTCAGGAGATCGAGACCATCCTGGCTAACAAGGTGAAACCCCGTCTCTACTAAAAATACAGAAAATTAGCCAGGCGTGGTGGCAGGTGCCTGTAGTCCCAGCTACTCGGGAGGCTGAGGCAGGAGAATGACGTGAACCTGGAAGGCGGAGCTTGCAGTGAGCCAAAATCACACCACTGCACTCCGGCCTGGGCGACAGAGCGAGACTCCATCTCAAAAAAAAAAAAAAAAAAAAAAAAAGAAAATCAGGATTTGACATCGCTGTTGATTTCCTGAACCTCGAGTTTTTTAAGTGCATCTTTGTACTTAAAAGGAATAGGTTACCTTTATGAGGGACACCCATCGTTCTAACATGTGAAGGTGTTCATTTAGTGTCACACGCAAGGCAGACCTGGGCCCAATCTTTTTTTGCCTTTCTTTATACCAACCAATTTTTAGCATTTTGTAAATTATAACTTTCAAGTCTTCAAAATTTCACATAAACATGTAAATGTTGTGGAACTGCCATCTACACACCCCTTTAAATGAAAAGCACTCTAGTACTGTAGGAGAAACACAGGCTTTGGAGAGAGAGAGATTTTAGCACCAGCTCTAACGCTTATGGCCTGGGAGAACATATAAAAAAAAAAAATCTTCAGCCGGGTACGGTGGCTCATGCCTGTAATCCCAGCATTTTGGGAGGCCAAGGCGGGTAGATCACCTGAGGTCAAGAGTTTGAGACCAGCCTGGCTAACATGGTGATACCCCATCTCTACTAAAAATACAAAATATTGGCCGGGCACGGTGGCTCACACTTATAATCCCAGCACTTTGGGAGGCCGAGGTGGGCGGATCATGATATCAGGAGATCAAGACCATCCTGGCTAACACGGTGAAACCCCACCTATACTAAAAATACAAAAAATTAGTGAGCCGCGCCACTGCACTCCAGCCTGGGTGACAGAGCGAGACTCTGTGTCAAGAAACAAAAAATACAAAAAATTAACTGGACATGGTGGTGGGTGCCTATAATCCCAGCTACTCAGTGGGCTGAGGCAGGAGAATTGCTTGAACCTGGGAGGCGGTGGTTGCAGTGAGTTGAGACCTAACCATTGCACCCTAGCCTGGGCAACAAGAGTGAAACTCCATCTCAAAAAAAAAAAAAAAAAAAAAAAATCTTTCACAAATGTTGTCTTAAAATTTAACTTTTTTTTTTTTTCAGAGAAAGGATCTTGCAATGTTGCCCAGGCTAGATTCAAACCCCTGAATTCAAGCCATCCTGTTGCCTCAGCCTCCTGAATAGCTGAGACTACAAGCGTGTGCCACAGTGAATGGCTGGGAGAACTTTTTTGAGCCTCAGTTTCTTCACCTTGGAATAAAACAATTGTAGCTGGGGTTAAATGAAATGTAGCAATCTATGTATAATATACAGCACATTGTTTGTCCCTTGGCCGACATTCCGAAAGTGGTAGCTTTCATCATTTTACAGTAAGTCCTGTCATGTACAAGGTAAAGAAGGACCTAGAAGAAGAGAATATGAATTTCTTAACATCTCTTATCACTTACACATTCCCTTCTCAACAAATATTGATTGGAAACATACTGGAGACACAGTGTTGAACAAGACATGGCCTTGGTGTTTTAGTTTCGGTTTTTTGAGACAGGGTCTCTCTCTGTTGCCCAGGCTGGAGTGCAGTGGCGTGATCATGGCTCACTGCACCCTTGACCTCCTGGGCTCAAGCGATCCTCCCACCTCAGCCTCTTGAGTAGCTGGGACCACAGGTGCACACCACCACAGATGGCTTTTGTTTGTATTTTTGGTAGAGACAGAGTTTCACCATGTTGCCCTGGCTGGTCTCAAACTCCTCGGCTCAAGCAATCCACCTGCCTCTGATTACAGATGTCAGCCACTGCACTCCACCAAACTTGGTGTTTTTAAAGCACTTTTACATTATTGTCTAGATAAAGAGATGCCACTCTTCTACAAATTGGTACTTACGAATTTATTTTGAGGATCTGTTCGGCTTTAGTCCACAAACCAATATGCCACAAACTTTTAATTCTTTATCCCAAAAAGGGGGCTACAATGCATAGATGATTTACCAGTCGCCCTCATGCTATGTAGCATGTGCTCATACGTCATGTCGAAAGTACCAGAAACTGGAAAAGGAATCAATTCCTTTTTTTCTTGGCTTGGAACAGGGAGAAGCAAAAACTGGTAGAAAAGTCTGACATCACCTCTTGGGCCTGACCCTCCATAGCCACAAAACAAGTTGGCCAGGAATCCAGGTAGAATCTGCAAAAGCAGACTCCAGGTCTCACACTGGCCTGGCAATAAAGTCTTTAGGATGTTAATAGAGGTTGAGTGAAAGTGAAATGAAGGACCATATTGTCTCCCAACCAACGTAGTATCCTAATGATTCTGTAGAGCAGGATGAATCTAAATCTAAATGTGGATTTCAATAGAATTCCGCAACAGCCATCCCTGAAGCTCCTTCTACAGGATCCTACCTAGGGCTGTGGGCTATTTCTGTATCTGTGCTTTCTGCTTTTCTTCCCCATCTTACTCTACAGCTATGACCAAGCCTTTCTGATAAACCCGGGCCGGTGGGGGAGGGGGGAGGGTGGAGTTAAAGGGTGGCAGGAAAAGGACAGCTTGAAGGACAACCTATTAACTAGAGTGCACCTCAGTTACATTTGGCCTTGGGATCTGGAATAGCTTCGCTTTCCTCAAGAGCCAGAGCACCTCTTGTGTCCCAGCATGTCCCAGAGCACTGTGTCAGTTTCTTATCACAGTGCCCACTGTTCCTGGTGTTCCCGTGAAACCTCTGGAACACCAAGATTTTTTGGCTTCTTTTTGTTCTTGCTTCTTGGGACTCTTCTTTACCTTAAGGAGAAAGCACAATAAGAAGAAAGAGTAAATGGCCCACTGGCCTCAAACATTCATATCCAAGAATCAGTTCTATTCATCAGTATTTATGATGGACCATGCAGGAGTGAACTAGGAATGAGCTGAACCATGCCCCAGGGCCATGATGCTGGAAAACCATAAAAATCTGGTAGGGCAGGGTGTGGTGGCTCACACCTATAATCTCAGCCCTTTGGGAGGCCAAGGCGGGAGGATCACTTGAGGCCAGGAGTTCAAGACCAGCCTGGGCATCAAAGCGAGACCTCATCTCTTCAAAAAGTAAAAATAAAAATTAGCTGGGCATTGTGGCATGAGGCTGTAGTCCTAGCTACTCATGAGGCTGAGACTGGAGGATTATTTGAGCCTAGGAGGTTGAGGCTACAGTGAGCCATGATTGCACCACTTCGTTCCAGCCTGGGCAACAGAAAGACCCTGTCTGGGGGAAAAACAATCTGGTAGGCTTCCAGACCAAAAGTAACTTTTGTAGTTCGAACAAGGGCAAGAGCCCTGAATGGTAAGAGGAAAGAGTTCCATGTGGCTCTTTACCATTCTGAGATTAAGCCAAAAATGAAGATGTCAACTTAAAACAGGATATATTTGATTAACAAATGGTTTCATGGATAAAAATTCAATGATTCCGTAAGGGATATTCCCTTGGAACTTCAAGTTGGTTAAAAAAAAAAAAAAAAAAAAAAAAAAAAGCCTGAGCGTTTGAGGACTATCAAAGAAAATCAGAATGAAAGAGATATGTATCAGTACATTCTTGCATTGTTACACTGTTATAAAGAAATACCTGAGACTGAGTAGTTTATCAAGAAAAGAGATTTAATTGGCTCACAGTTCTGCAAGCTGTACAGGAATCATGGTGTTGGCATCTGGCTTCTAGGGGAGGCCTCAGGAGACTTACAGTCGTCTAGGAAGGTGAAGGGAAAGCAGGCATATCATACATGGCTGGCACTGGTGCAAGAGAGAGGTGGGAGGTGCCACACATGTTTAGACAACCAGATCTTATGAGAAGTCTTATCATGAGAACAGCACCAAAGGGGAAAATCTACCCCTATGATCCAATCACCTCCTACCAGGCCCCACCTCCCACACTGGGGCTTACAATTCGACATGAGTCTGGCCAGGGACACAAACTCAAACCATATCAAGATAGAACACTGTAAACAAAGTGAATATGGGAAAACCTGGCCGGGCGTGGTGGCTCACACCTGTAATCCCAGCACTTCGGGAAGCCGAGGCAAGCGGATCACCTGAGGTCAACAGTTCAAGACCAGTATGGCCAACACGGCAAAACCCCGTCTCTACTAAAAATACAAAAGTTAGCCGGGTGTGGTGGCATGCGCCTGTAGTCCCAACTACTTGGGAGGCTGAGGCAAGAGAATCACTTGAACCCGGGAGGCAGAGATTGCAGTGCGCCAAGATCGCACCACTTCACTCCAGCCTGAGTGACAGAGCAAGACTCTGTCTCAAAAAAAAAAAAAAAAAAGAAAAAAAGAAAAGAAAAGAAAAAAGAAAATGAGTATGGGAAAACCTTACCATTTGCTCAAGTCCCAGAGAATATGAAAGAATCTATATCACAGAAAAGCTTCTTGACTTTAACAGCGAGTTAGTTTGTGTCGTGCATGTGGCAGATATTAAACTGTGTTGATGAGTTTGGTTTGAGGACGTTTACAGTGGAAGACCACCCAGGAAATGACTTGTCTTGGGCTTTAATGGGGGGTAAATACAGAGAAATATTTACTTAGGTGTAGCATTTACTTTGGTATATAGCAAATGCCTATTAATAAGCACTTACTGTATATAGTTAGCCCTCTTTATCCATGAGTTCCACGTTCACGGATTCAACCAACTGTGGATTGAAAATGTTAAAAAAAAATTACAACAATAAGAATGATAGACTTAAAAAGCAATAGAATTGAATAACTATTTGCATAGCGTTTACCTTGTATTAGGTATTATAACTGCTCTAGAGATAAAGCATACAGAGGATGTGTGCAGTTATGCGCAAATAGTACGCTGTCTTTCTCTTTGTTTGAGATGGAGTCTCGCTCTGTTGCCCAGGCTAGAGTGCAGTGGCACAATCTCGGGTCACTGCAGCCTCCGCCTCCTAGGTTCAAGCAATTCTCCTGCCTCAGCCTCCTGAGTAGCTGGGATTACAGGTCTGGCCACCACGCCTGGCTAATTTTTGTATTTTTAGTAGAGACGTGGTTTCTCCATGTTGGTCAGGCTGGTCTCAAACTCCTGATCTCGTGATCCGCCCACCTCTGCCTCCCAAAGTGCTGGCATTACAGGCGTAAACCACTGCACCCATCCAAGTACACTGTTTTATATCAAGGACTTGAACATCTATAGATTTTGAGGGTCCTGGAAACAATATCACGGCAGTTATCAAGGGATGACTATACACCCAATACTAGCCTGGCCTGGTGCAATCCATTTTCTGTAATCCCGTTACCTTAAAGAATGGCGCTCTTACCCTTGTTTTAGCCATGTGAACTTATGCTTAATGAGACTAAAGAATTTGCCCAGGCCACTCACCTAATAAATGGCAGAATCAACATCCAAATCCAGGTCCACTTAAAATCCCTTGTTCTTGAACCCATATGAATGAAATTAATATGGAGAATACCTTCCACATTGTAGACACACTGCAAGCTGAAGTGAGACCAGGGAATCAGAAGTGACATTGTCACTGGCCTCTTTGGTTTAGCATCCTGGGGTCTTTTATCTTGGCTACATCTGTCCCCCGCATCCCTTGACTGTACTCTAATTTTAGAAATATAGTTCCTGAAGTAAAGATATTGAGGAATAGGTATCTGCTGCTCTTGTTTCCTAGTTCTATAAAGCTAATTCCCATATAAACCACATCTAATGGTAGCATCATTGGTTACAGGAGGTGAGGCAAGAAAGGAGGCACGTTCCAACTTAACATCTTAATCTAAGAGCATAAAATTATTACCTGTGGTCTCTGGAATTATACACCAATTTCCACCACCACTTTAATTTCTTTTTCCTTTTTCAGTCCCCTCTTTCTGCTACTCAGATGATTGAAAAGTGATAAAAAGTTGGTAGAAGTCATAAGATTTTCTATGGGGTCTTCTGTCGAGTCAGGCATTAAAAATGTGTCTTACATTGATGAAAAACTATATGTGATGCTTAAACTCTGTATCTTCCAAGGAATAAAAGAAACATCTGGGCTGGGTGCGGTGGCTCACGCCTGTAATCCCAGCACTTTGGGAGGCCGAGGTGGGTGGATCACAAGGTCAGGAGATCGAGACCATCCTGGCTAACACGGTGAAACCCCATCTCTACTAAAAATACAAAAAAAAATTAGCCGGGCATGGTGGCGGGCACCTGTAGTCCCAGCTACTCGGGAGGCTGAGGCAGGAGAATGGCATGAACCCAGGAGGCGGAGTTTGCAGTGAGCCGAGATCGTGCCATTGCACTCCAGCCTGGGTGACAGAGTGAGACTCCGTCTCAAAAAAAAAAAAAAAAAAGAAAAGAAAAGAAACATCTGAAAGATGTGAAAGACCATGCTACAATTTTTTTTTTTAAATCTTGGATCTATACTTTTGTGATCAGAAACTTTTCTGAATAATGGATGGATCTACTAATGGAAATTGTATTTCTAGTGGTAAAACTGAGTTTGATGAAGACTACATCCTTAGGAGGCTGAGGGGGGAGGATTACTTGAGG